>NC_000010.11:55143095-55294610 GCF_000001405.40 Homo sapiens | reverse complement strand
GAGCAGAACATATCAAAATAAATTATCATAATAACAAAAATAATACATTTCTGAGTCAAGAACAGTGAAGTATTTTCCAGTAATGGTGAATTATTTCCCCTGATTCATCTTCATCCTTCACCAAGAACATTTACTTCAGAACATCTCCCTGGGATCATTACTTCAGTATGAAGTTAGAGACAGTGGTAGCAGATGAAAGCCAGGAAATTTAACCACTAATTCTGACATTTTTAGTTCAACACCTAGCTATACATAACCATAACTAACCGTGAGCAATCCAGAGCATTAATAAGAATTGACATGGTATGGCTGGGTCCCTACCCAAATCTCATCGTGAATTCCCACGTGTTGTGGGAAGGAGCCAGTGGGAGGTAATTGAATCATGGGGACAGGTTTTTCCTGTTTTGTTCTTGTTATAGTGAATAAGTATCATGATATCTGGTGGTTTTATAAGGGGGAGTTTCCCAGCACAAGCTCTCTCTTTGCCTGCTGCCATCCATGTAAGATGTGACTTCCTCCCCCTTGCTTTCTGCCATGACTATGAGACCTCCTCAGCCATGTGGAACTGTTAAGTCCATTAAACTTCTTTATTTTGTAAATTGCCCAGTCTTGAGCATGTCTTATTAGCAGTATGGAAATGAAATAATACATTAAATTGCTACCAGAAAAGTGGGTGCTGCTGAAAAGATACCCCAAAATGTGGAAGCGACTTTGGAACTGGGTAACAGGCAGAGATGGGAACAGCTTGGAGGGCTCAGAAGAAGACTGGAAATGTGGGAAAGTTTGGAACTTCCTAGAGACTAGTTGAATGGCTTTGATCAAAATGCTGAAAATGATATGGACAATGAAGTCCAGGCTGAAGTGGTCACAGATGAAGATGAGGAACTTGTTGGGAAGTGGAGCAAAGGTAACTCTTGTTATGTTTTAGCAAAGAGGCTGGCAGCATTTGCTTCTGCCCTAGAGATTTGTGGAACTTTGAACCTGAGAGAGATGATTTAGGGTATCTGGTTGAAGAAATTTCTAAGCAGCAAAGTGTTCAAGATGTGACTTGGGTGCTGTTAAAGGCATTCAGTTTTATAAGGGAAGCAGAGCATAAAAGTTTGAAAAATTTGCAGCCTAACAATGCGATAGAAAAGAATATCCCATTTTCTGAGGAGAAATTCAAGTCTGCTGCAGAAATTTGCATAAGTAAGACGGAGTTGAATGTTAATCCCCAAGAAATGGGGAAAATGTCCCTGAGGCAATGTCAAAGTTCTTCATGGCAGCCCCATCCATCACAGGCCCTGAGGCCTAAGAGGACAAAATGGTTTTGTAAGCCAGGCCCAGCATCTTTATGCTATGTGCAACCTAGTGACTTGGTGCTCTGTGTCACAGCTTCTCTGGCTGTGGCTGATAGGGGTCAACACAGAGCTCAAGCCATGGCTTCAGGGAGTGCAAAACCCAAGCCTTGGCAGCTCCCATGTGGTATGGAGCCAGTGGGTGCAAAGAAGTCAAGAATTGGGGTTTGGGACCCTACCCCTAGACTTCAGAGGATGTATGGAAATGCCTGGATGCCCAGGCAGAAGTTTGCTGCAGGGGCCCGGCCCTCATGGAGAACCTCTGCTAGGGCAGTACAGAAGGGAAATATGGAGTCGGAGCCCCCACACAGAGTCCCTACTGGGGCACTGCCAGTGGAGCTATGAGAAGAGGGCTGCCATCCTCCAGACCCCAGAATTGCAGATTTACTTACAGCTTGCACTGTTTGCCTGGAAAAGCTTCAGACACTAAACACCAGCCCATAAAAGCAGCCAGGAGTGAGAATATACCCTGCAAAGCCACAGGGGCAGAACTGCCCAAGGCCATGGGAGCTGACCTCTTGCTTCAGCGTGACCTGGATGTGAAACATGGAGTTAAAGAGATCATTTTCGAGCTTTAAGGTTTGACTGCCTGGGACGGGTGTGGTGGCTCACACCTCTAATCCCAGCACTTTGGAAGGCCGAGGTGGGTAGATCACCTGAGGTTAGAATTTCGAGACCAGCCTGGCCAACATGGTGAAACTGCATCTCTACTAAAAATACAAAAATTAGCCGGTCGTGGTGGCGAGCACCTGTTATATCAGCTACTCCAGGAGCTGAAGCTGGAGAATTGCTTGAACCCGGGAGATGGAGGTAGCAGTGAGCCGAGATCATGCCATTGCACTCCAGCCTGGGTAGCAAGAGTGAGACTCCATCTCAAAAAACAACATGAAATAAAATAAAATAAAATATAAAATAAGATTTGACTGCCCTGCTGGATTTTAGATTTGCTTGGGGCCTGTAGCCCCTTTGTTTTGGCCAATTTCTCCTATTTGACATGGGTGTATTTACCCAAATGCCTGTTACCTCATTGTATCTAGGAAGTAACTAACTTGCTTTTGATTTTAAGGCTTATAGGCAGAAGGGACTTGCCTTGTCTCAGATGAGACTTTGGACTGTGAACTTGTGAGTTAATGCTGAAATGAGTTAAGACTTTGGGGGACTGTTGGGAAGGCATGATTGGTTTTGAAATGTGAGGACATGAGATCTGGAAGGGGCTAGGGGGGAATAATATGGTTTGGCTGTGTTCCTGCCCAAATCTTATCTTGAATTCCCATGTGTTGTGAGAAGGACTCAGTTGGAGGTAATTGAGTCATGTGGGCAGGTCTTTCCCATACTGTTCTTGTGATAGTGAATAAGCTTCACAAGATCTAGTGGTTTTATAGGGGGCAGTTTCCCTGCACAAACTCTCTCTGTCTGCTGCCATCCATGTAAGACATGACTCCCTCTTCCTTGCCTTCTGCCATGATCATGAGACTTCCCCAGCCATGTGGCACTGTAAGTCCATTAAACTCCTTTATTTTGTAAATTGCCCAGTCTTAGGTATGTCTTTACCAGCAGTGTAAAAATGGACTAATACAACAAGCTTATGTTCTTTTTCCCTTTTGTGACTTCAAAGAAGTCAGTCATCATCTGAGAGCTTGGTAAATTTTCTTCATTGAATTACATTGTCTTTTCTTTAACTTAGTAAAGACATCTGCTATTGGTCAAAAATTCCAGGGATTTCACTTATTTAATCTTTTGGCAAAATTAACATTCTTTCCATTTCTCATTTCAGTTGATCTTTTAAATTGTATAACAGAAGTGCTGTTGTCATTTTAAACATTATTAAGAATGTATTTTCTTGAAACTCTGGCTTAACATCAGATAGTAATAGAATATACAGATTTTAGAATGCTGATAAACAAGCTGTGAATAAAGACTTGTCCTTTGCTTCAATCATATATTCAGGTGTTTCTAAAGCAGAGAAACCAGAGATGAAATGTTTGGTTGTCATTGTATTAAGTTTTAAGTATGTGTTGTCTTGTGTTGCTTAACGCTTTTCTCAGATTTTCTTAACTTTCTCCTGTAGGGAAGTTAATGAAATGAGTTAAGACTTTGGGGAACTGTTGGGAAGGCATGATTGTTTTTGAAATGTGAGGACATGAAATTTGGGAGGGGCCGGGGGGAAAGAGAGAAAGAGAGAAACATCAGAAAAGATTATTTTTCTTTTCTAATAAGAATGTCATTATAAACACCAGAATTTTTATCCTTGAAATTTATGAAATCTTAAGATCACTACTTACACATTTGGCTAAAAATGTTGTGTTGGGAATTTAAGGAAGACACTTAGAATTTTTCAGTTCTGGACGTTTCATAACTGTTAACAATCTACCGTTCTTTAAACACACATTAATCAGAGATATAGATAAATTTCCTCCTCCCATCTTTTTTTCTTTCAACATACCTTTTCTTGTTTTCTAATTTTATTTCCCATTATTTGTTCTATATTTTTCATTTCCATGGCTAATTCTATATTATTGTAACTGTCACTATTTGGAGGTATTGGCACCTAAAAAATAAGAAACAAAATATTATAGTCTGTGTTGAAGCTTATGTCAACTTGGTTCTTCTGGAAGATACTTAGAACCCATTTTCATCTTGCTAAGATGAAATGCAATGATACAGTGGTATTAGGTATTATGTATATTAAAGAGGTTGGAGTTGGATACAGAAAGTGGTCAGGGAAATGCTCTTATTTAGTAAGTTAGGGTCCAAATTAAAATTACCCAATAAAAGCAAATTTTCACTTTCCTTAACACAATAAAAAATGCTGTGTATTCATTAAGTTTTAACTTTGAAACACTTAAAGTATGCAAAACATACAGAAAATATGAAGACACTTCACCCCAATACCTTTATTGTCAATAGCAGAGGTGATCTCTAAACATTATCCCTCCCCAATACACACTGTGATGTTTAAGATATTAAAAGTATTAAACATTTAATTACTCTAATACATACATAGGAATATACACATTTATAGACATTAATAGGTATCAGAATTAGGACTTCAACCCATCTCCTTGAGGGACACAATTCAATTCACACAAACATGTACGGTTTGTATAAAATTTATGTATATTATATCTAGTAATACAATGATAGATGCCTTTGTTTATTTTCTGTTGCTATAACAAAATATCATAGACTGGGTAGTTTATAAAGAAAAATTTATTTATTACAGTTCTGGAGGCTGGGGAGTTCAAGAACATGACTCAGGTATCTAGTGAGGGTCTTCTTTATGTTTTCTTATGACAGAAGAGCAGAAGAACTGCTGAGCACAAGCAAAGGAAATCACAGAGGCAGCCAGCTTGCTTTTACTACAACCCACTCTCAAGAAAACTCACTCAGTCCCGTGAAAACTGATTCACTCCCAAGAGAACTCACACCCTAGATGATGATATTAATCCATTCACAAGAGCTCCACCCTGGTGACCCTATCATCTCTTAAAAGACCCACCTGTTAATATTGTTACAATAGTGATTAAGTTTCCAACACATGAACTGTTGGGGGATACATTCAAACCATAGCAATAGATATTTAGATAGATAGATTAATTAAATGGAACAATTTGGATACAATTTTAGGAAATTTATGGATCCCTATATAAAATGCACAAATTCTTAGGGGTCCATAAGATGCCAGTTTGAGAAGCTCTAGAGTAATGTTTTCTTCTTTTTAGATCATCTCTCTTCTTCCTTTGGTCTTTTTTTTAACACTTTTCTTTCTTCTTTCCTTCTTTTCCTCTCCCCCTCCCTTCCTCACTCTCTCCTTCCATTCCTTCTTTTGTTCCTGCCTTCCTCTTTTCCTAGTTTCTTTCCTTGTTTTCTTTCTCTTTTTCTGTCTCCTTCTTTCTTTCTTTTTTCCCTTCCTGCCTTCTTTCTGTTTCAAGATGATTTTATTAAACAGGCAGTTCTTAACTTCCACATTCTAGATTTGTATTTCTCATAAACATAAAATGGTATGAGAGTATGTAAATTTAGAATCTCAGTTCCTGGTTTTGTTAAAACAATTGGAACAACTGGTTTTTCTTTAGTGACTCACAAGATGTGGGGAGAGCCTACAAATACAGAGGTGTCTTCTCTCCTGTAGAAAAGAATACAATGATAGACTTTAGTACGCAGCTGTAGATTAACAGATAATTATTGCAAATAATGACATTTCATTTGATTGGTACTTTATGTTTTATGTTGGTAAGTAAATATTTAGAATGATTAAAGAAATGATAGCAAATTATAAAATTTAAATAGCTGACCAAAAAGCCCTGGATATGGGAAACAATTTGGTGGTTTTTCAAAAAAATTAAAAATAGAATTACTGTATAATCCACCAATCCAAGTTCTAGATATATATATATATATATCTAATAGAATTGAAGTCATAAGCTGGAAGAAATAGCCTCACTCTAATGTTTATTGCAACATTATTCACAATAGTCAAGGTTTTAAAACAAATCCACATAAACGGATAAAGAAAATGTGGTATGTACATACAATGAAATCTTATTCGGTATTTACCAAAAAGGAGATCCTGCAATTTGTAACGACATGGATGAACCTGGAAAACATTCGCTAAGTGGAATAAGCCAATTAAAATAGAACAAGTACTACATGGTTCCACTTATGTGAGTTATCTATTTAATACATTAATTAAACTCATACAGGCAGAGAATAGACTGGTGGTTGCTGGAGGAGGGAGAAGTAGGAAGATATTAGTTAAAAGATACAGGGTTTCTGTTAGGCAAGATGAATAAGCTCTAGAGATCCTCTGCACAACAGTACCTAGAGTTAGCAATACCACATTGTGTACTTACACATTTTCTTTTGATTCACGTTTCTTCAGTTTTTCTCTGATGTGCTTAGATGTGGGTTTAGTTTTATTTACTTTGCTTAGTTGAGATTGCTATGTGGTTAAAATCAGATGCTTACATCCTACAATACGTTTAATTTTGAATATGAACATGTCTATTCGATACTAGATAAACAAATTTTAAAGCATTATTTTTCTCCCAATTTTTTTTTCTTCAAGTTAGCCTACGTGTGCCGTTACTCTATACCTGGGCATATGAAAGCAGAAAAATTGATGTCAGTAGCATTTTACAATGTGAAAAACAGAAGAATATTTTTAGAGAAAATCTTACACATATATATATAAATTAATATATATATATTAAGTATCGTGTCAGTATTCAGTACTCAACACATATTTACAAATATATAAATTAATTTGCATTTTAAATATATCTCAATACTTTGATTAATAAATGACCCAGCTGAGTGAACTCAGCCTTGTTCTAGTTTTCACACCCCTAAACATGATGCTAGACTTGAAGGTTGTTTAAAGATTAATAATAATTTGGTGTGGCTGAAATATGAGAATAGTGGAATGGAAGATATGTGGTCTCTGAGATTTTGCATTCCAGTACTTTTCTTGCATGTCCTAACGGCTAAGCACATTTTACAATTCACTTCCCTTTCTAATTTGTATAGTATTTTCCCCATTGAACTATCAAAGAGAAAGAAAATTAAAGAAAATTAAAACACACACATACACACACACTACACAAGAAAAAAGCTGACTTAATATTTTCAGATCATACTTGTCATTAGACCTGGAGAGAGAGCAGCATCTAGCATAGTGCTCAAAGCTTACTGTCACTGCCCTAGCTTACTCTGAATGCAACTCAGGCATTGAACATAGTCCACCTGCTGGTGAAATTATCCTTTTCTTTTTATGAATATTAAAGAGGAACGTGTAGCCTTACTAAGATAGTTTCCCAAGGATAACACTTTTCAAATCACTAATTGACAGTCATTTCATGATCGTATTGGCTAGGTTACCAACTCATATAAGTTTAATGATTTATTCATTAATTAAACAATATTTAATGCTTATTAAATGTTAGGCATATTATAGGAGCAGGGGCTATGTAGGTGAATATAACAAAGTCTCGTTGTAAAATTTGCACATAAATTTTAAATTGGCTGACCTTTAAGCAAACTGATTACAGACTCATTGCATCTTCAACTTGAGACAGACTTTTGAGTAGAACCTTCTTCTCAACACAAGACTCTATTACTTTGTGCTGAGGCAACTTGAAGTTACTGATTTTTTTCTTATTGTGAATATTTAAGATATTGTAATCAATAGCTTTTATTAATTAGCACTGTGTGTCTGTATTAATGAAAAATAAAGCTTTTGAGTTCTAAATATAAAATAAATGAATGCCCTATTTTAGGCAAAAGTAAGGAAGTAATGATATGCTAGCTTTAATTCATAAAAGTGATTTGAGAGTTTAAAAGAAAATTGAAATTTTAACAAATGGATCCTAAAATAGTAAGTCCATTAACTCTGTACTTGGCTAATACAAATGCATGAAAAGAAATATATAATAAAACTTAAGAAAGTGCAAGGATGCAAAGAGGAATATCCTTCATCATGAGTACTGGAAATGGAAGAAGCCTGACTTTTCAATATGAAAATTGATTATGCAAAATATAGGCAAAGGCTATAACTGATGGGATAAATTCAATTCAGCAGAGGTCAAATGGGAAGCTCATTTTGGCCTCAGACTTGGCCAAGTTTTAAAATACATCTGTGTAAATTGCAGGTTTGATGTTTTGCCTGCTGTTTTCCTTGTATTTGTAGCACCTACAGCAAGGACAACATAGGTGGCATTCAATAAATATTTGCTGAATGAATGAAGAAATTACATAGACCAAAAAAAAAAAACCCTCATAGACTACAGCTACAGATATGACCAAACCTAATGAGGTTTTCATTATAAAGTTAAACTCTGTATTACAATAACTTATGTACTGCAAAGAAATATAAATCAATATATAGCTACAAACAGGTATAGGTATATAGTTTTAAAAATTTCTCATATTCAAATACTTTGTAAGGGGACTGACAGTAAAATTTATATGAATTAGCAATTAGATAAAATACAGAGCATGCTGTTTAGAAAACTGTAATTGTTGCTTAGTATTTTTTTAATGCAGTCATTTTCTATGAAGAAAGAATGATTGTAACATAATAGTAGCCTGCAAGTGAAGTTTTAAAAGGCCGATTTTTCTTTATAGTTTGGATAATTTTAATGGAAAAGAAAGAAACATGCGTAGGTATTATATGAGTGTTCTTTACTTATTGTCATGTGAATCTTAAAATGAGAGTTTCATGTTCATAACATTTCAGATTTATCATCACAGCTGTTATTGTTTAAATCTTTGAATAATGCACGAAAATCAAAAGAAATGAAACAACTTCTTTTCTCACAAGTGTATCTGTACTCAAATTTAGGTTAAATATCAGTATATGCTTCACTAAAGCAGTTTTAATAAATGAAGCTGCTTGGCACAGCTAGATGATTTCATGTTGAATAAAAAACAGAGTCATAGCTTGCCATTCCAGAACCATCTTAATGTCATGACTGTGTCTTATTTTCTATTAACTCTTTGAGAAGGGGATGAAATCCAGGGAGGTACCACATCTTACAATCATTTATTTCTTTGTTCATTCAAAATTTTCCCTCAACAAGCATTTGTTGAGAACTTACGTTTCATATTTCACCTCACTACCCAGAAGTGCTAGCTATAGGAATTAATCCTAAGAAAAAAATATGTTAAGTAGAAACAAAGATTTCATAAAAGAAGTCTATAAATTAAGAAAGAAAAAAGAAAAAAAATGAACATCCTATAGTTCTAATAAAAGGGGACTTACTAAGTTAAATATCATCAAACCTAGAAAATGATGTTTGTTATTAATGCCCATTAATGGAAAATATATTCACAATATCTTCCTAAATAAAATATGCATGCTGAAAAACAATTTGGACAAATCATAATAATATATGTACCTATGTGTATAAAAGTACTTCTTAAATATATATTAAAAAATTAGTTGATTTTATGTGTGGTTCATAATGTTATGGAAGAATACCATTTTTAAAAATCGATTTTATGTCTGCAGAAACTGTATAAATAAATATATTGTATTTATATTTACCATATAAATACAAGTTTATATGGTAAACTTGTATTTACCATATAAATACAAGTTTATATGGTAAACTTGTATTTACCATATAAATACAAGTTTATATGGTAAACTTGTATTTACCATATAAAAGAATTATAGAAAACATAGATGGAAAGCTCAATATCTTCAGAGAGATTAAGAAAACTATTCAACTATAGTTAATATTTAATATACTCTAAATAAGAATTTGAAGCGATCTCACTTCCCCTACTTTTTTCTTCAAAACCAGAATCCCTTTGTTGTTTATACCGTCTTTGACTATTTCTTTTCTTTATCTAGACTCTGATTCCCTATGAATATTCAGAAGAAGCCAAACATTAGCACTACATAAACCATATAATGGTTCTAAAAATACACACCAAGATTTTAGCATTCATTTCTGATGCTCTTGTAACTCCCCCATGATAAATATATGTCTGACTTCCCTGGCCAAGTGGCAGTTAATTTACATGTGACGTGAAAACTTAAATAGAAGTATTTAAGTCCAAAGGCAAAAGACAGGTTAGAGATTCAAACAGTGGGATAGTAAAGAAAATATGCCCTAAAATTTTTACTATGGTAAATACAGATTGAGTGACTGACTGAAATCAATTATTGGTATGTAACAATGAAAAATAGAAAAAATAATATGCAGAAAACAAGTGCAAAGGTCAGAGTCATAGAATCATTTTTTATATCAGAGTTTCTGCATAAACTGTACCTTTATGACCATAACTCATTCTTTTGAGCAATACAGCACTGATTCTGAGTGATACATACCCTCACTTATTTTTTTAATTTTCAAATCCCTGTGAAAACACTGGGGAATGGCCTGTACCCATTGTGAAATTCACCTTTATTTCCTGTTGAGAACTTACTCTCAGTGTAGTTTATCTAAAAGGTAAATTGAGTATACTATCAGTCGGCTGTCCATCCTGATTTACTGGGATAGCTGCCTTTAACTGTCCTAACGAAGGCTTAGAAGCATTCTCTGAAGACCTTTAACCTCAATAGCATAGGCCTGAGTAGCTATCTAAAGGACACATAACTCACAAAAGAACGAAATGTTTTCGTTAGAAAACCATAGACAGCAGTCTGTATTATGTGGGATTTGTGTGGAATTTTATGAAAACCAAAGCATCCATTGCAATATCTCTGGGTTTCACAAGAGAACTCCATGGAAATGACTTAAGAGTCAAGATTGAGTTTAATACTAAAGCACTGTAATATACAAAGCCATGTATTGTATAGAGCTTAATTTTGATTTGCATAGTTTACAGAACAAATAGTAATAGACATTCAAAAATGATGATGACAGCTATAACAACTTTTTAATTTTAAAAAGTATTTCTATGAGTTGTTCTTCTTTTTCCACTTAGTTTCCAAACAACTTTTAGTAGACGTTGCATTTCTTATTCTATTTGACAGACTATTAGAAGGCAAACATAACCTAGTTAACATTGTATAACTAGAAAGTGTTACAAGCCATATGAAAATTGATATTCTGATTCATTAATTCATTTTACAAAGGTTTTTGAGCATCTAGGATGCACAAAGCTCTATACCAAGTACTTAATAGTGACTGGATAGAAAGCAGGTGGGCAAGAATGGAGGAAGACAGGACAAAAGGAAGAATAGTAATAAGAAAAGTAGTAAGGAAGGAAAGAAGCTGTGTCTGTAACTGCCCAGTGGGTTTTCCTTGCCCGCTGCCTTGACAGAGCCAATTTATCAAGACAGGGGAATTGCAATAGAGAAAGAGTTTAATTCATGCAGAGCTGGCTGTACCAGAGAGGTGAGTTTTGTTATTATTCAAATCAGTCTCCCCACGAATTCAGGGATCAGAGTTTTTAAGGATACTTTGGTGGTTAAGGCACCATTTAGTCAAGGGTGCTGGTTGATTGGGTCCAAGATGAAATCATAGGGAGTTGAAGCTGTCCTCGTGCGCTGAGTCATTTCTTGGGTAAGGGCCACGAGACCAGATAAAACAGCTTATTGAACTGGGTGGTGCCAGCTGATTCATCCAGTGCAGGGTCTGCGAAATATCTCAAACACTGATCTTAGGTTTTACAATACTGATGTTATTCCCAGGAGCAATTTAGGGAGGTTTGGAAACTTACAGCCTCCAGCTGCATGACTCCTAAACCATAATTTCTAATCTCATGGCTAATTTGTTAGCCCTGCAAAGGCAGTGTGGTCCCCAGGCAGGAAGAGTGTTTGTTTTGGGAAAATACTGTTATTTTCTTTGTTTCAAAGTTCAACTATAAAGTAAGTTCCTCCAAAAGTTACTTAGGCCTAAACCCAGGAATGAACAAGAACAGCTTGGAGATTAGAAGCAAAATGGGGTTGGTTAGGTCAGGTCTCTTTCACTGCAATAACTTTCTCAGTTATAATTTTTGCAAAGGTGATTTCAAATCTATTGATGAAATTATTGAAAGCTCTCGCTTAAACTTACTGAAATGTTTCTAAACAGTTTGGGCAAGTTGTCTGTCATATGTTGATTAGTTAATTAATTTATTCTTATAAACATTTTAATTAATTACTTAATCATTTATAAGAACAAAAAATTATATTTGTAAATAAACATAAACTGTAACTTCTTTTATGGAGACTTTAATCCAACAAAGTCTGTTGAATTAAAGTCTTCATCAAATAAGTTGCAATTGAATTTACTCTCAGAAAGCCTGACCTATTAAAGATAATTTATATATGTGTATATATTCACCAAATTATTAAAACTTAATGTAAAATTCAATCTGTGAATAGTGCTTAAATTTGAGGACATAGTGTAATAACAGTGTAAAATAGATCCAGTCATGAGTAGAGCAACTGAAGAAGTCTTAAATCAAGGAATGATATTTGAACTGAGCTTTGGAAATTAAGAGAGAGTTAACCAGGTGAAAATGAGAGATGAGAAGGCAGAGCAGGTACTGCAGATAGACAAACCAGCATATGCAAAGGCTTAGTGTGTGGAAGAGTCTGGTATCTAAAAGGCACTAAAGGAGGGCAGCATGGCTAGAGGTCAGGAAGTGAGGTACAGAGTCTTACAAACAGTATTATTATTAAGGATCTTGGTCTTGACCATAGGAATAACGGGTAGCTATTGATAGTTCAAATAGAGGAATTAAGTGATTGAATTTGCATTTTTAAAACATTGCTCTTTCTTGGCGCTGGGGAAAAGGGTTAGCCAAAGTCAATATGGATATAATAGTTATGAAGCTATTTCATTAGTCCAGGTCAGATATAATGGTAATTTAGACTAAGGAGTTTGTTTCTGAGAAGAAGTGTAGACTTTTTTATAAATATTTCGGAGCAAAATCATAGAACTTAGAAAAGTTTTAGAAGGAGAGAAAGTATAAGGAATAAATATCATATTACAGGGTTCTGTAACTGGACATACAGTTATGGCATTTATCAAAAGAGAAAATTCTGGAATAGGACTCTTTTTGTGTAGAGTGAGAAGTTTGGTTTCATATGTTTTCACTGTCTTTGAAGAATTTAAGTTTTTGTGAGCCAGGTTAATATATGGATTTGATCCACGGAGATGATGATTGGTGCGGAGACACATGTGCGAGTCATTGTCATATAGATGATAAGTGAAGCACTGGGATGAATACAATTTTCTGTGAAAAAATAAGAGTTAAATGATCAGAAATAAGCCTTTATTCAATAAAAAGGGTAGGCGGAATCTGCTTATGAAAATGAATAGAAATAGCCAGTGACAAAGAAAGAAAAAGAGAGATTCTCATGTCGGAGATGGTAAGAGTTTTATTAAAAAAAGAAAAAGAAAAAAAAAATGTGTTTTTATTTGTATAGTGGTAATGAGGGGTGAGATTAAAAAAAAACATGAAATTTAATAGTATACAGTTTACTAAAGCTCCCCTGGAAAACCTGTGGTGAAATGATGAAGGAGGCAATAAAGTGGAGCAAGTGAGAAATAAGAAAATGAAGACAGATTATAAATTATTTTTCTTCTGTTATTATTATTCCAAATTCTCATGCCCTACACTAAACTTGACCTCTGAATTTCTGAGTGGCTTCCTATTACTTGGGATAAAAGAAGAAACTACATTTGTGATGCTACAGAAAACAAACATAAGGGGGAAAATAATATTTTTTACACATTTATTGGCTGCATAGCATTGCAGATATTCTTTTACTAAACTGTTAATATGCTATAGTATTAGAGTCTTTTTTCTCCATCAGTATCTTACATAACATCTGGCTACAGCCTATTATGGATAAGTTAACTTTTAAAAATCCATTATGCACTTCAAAATCAGTTCAGTAATTGTATTATCACTATGGAAGAATTGGCTACATTTCAGCATGAAATATAAATGGATCTGACTTTTCTCATTAATATTTCATAGCACATGGTTTAATATTGAGTTGAAGCAGAACATTGAGGTGGTCATGAAAAGGACAATTTATAAATGTGAATTTAACTAGAGAGAGATAAAATAAATCTTAGTTTTAGTTCTTCTAGGTGAATGCGGTTTACTAGACTCTATCTACATAGAAAGTATATTCAGTAAAAATAGAACATCATCATTACTGTGATAAAGATATAATCAACATCTCCCTGTTTAACATTATTCAACAAATACAGCTTATAAAGAATCAACAGGCCTGGCACGGTGGCTCACGCCTGTAATCCCAGCACTTTGGGAGGCCGAGGGGGGTGGATCACCTGAGGTCAGGAGTTCAAGAGCAGCCTGACCAACTTGGTAAAACCCTGTCTCTACTAAAAAAAAAAAAAAAAAAAAAAAATAGCTGGGTGCAGTGTCAGATACCTATAATCCCAGCTACTCAGGAGGCTGAGGCGAGAGAATCCCTTGAACCCGGGAGGCGGAGGTTGCAGTGAGCTGAGATCACACTACTTGCACTCCAGCCTGGGTCACAGAGCAAAACACCGTCTCAAAAAAAAAAAAAAAAAAAAAAAAAAGAATCAAAATAACCCCATCCTTTCCATAGCACAGCTTTTGTCTTTGTCCAAGCAATTGAGAGATACTGACATATGTGACTGAATTCACATTTCTTCCAAAGGAGATTGCCCAGCTCTCTCTATATCATGAAATTTCAATTTGCCAAATGGGCTGCATCTATTACTTTTGTTCACCTGCTTGTCTTTTATGGCAAAGAGATGCTATTTGAATTCTTACTTTTGGAAAATAAATGTCTAGCAATAAATCATCTTGCTTATGTTATGTGGAACCCTGATAGGCTGGTGGATATTATTATGTTTACTTTTTAAGAAAACAGAACTTCAAAAGCTCCTAATATTAAAAAATGCCATCTCTCACCAACTAAACTGTAAGTTAATATAGAAAATCGAAAACTGTGGTTTTGAATAGGAAGAACAGTATTTGCTGAGCATTTTGTTTTGATAAGCCTAAATAGCCATGAGGACCTCAATATGATCACTCATGGGCTCAGTCCTTATTGTAGTCCCATTTCTGTCAATCGTACAACCAATCCAGGGAAAAATGATATCTCTTTCTATTGATGTTTTGGAGATTGCTATTTTTAAGTTCAATTTGTATTATATAGCAGAAACAAGGCTGATTACATAATTTCTGGGACCCAATACAAAATGCAAATGTGGGGCTTCTTGTTAAAAAATTCTGAAGAATTTCAAGATGGCAATGAAACAGCATTAAACTAAGCATGAGGCTCTTCTAAGTGTGGACCCTGTGTAGGTATGCCGGTCGCTTATCAAGTCAGCCTAATCAGAAGACATGTAAGCAATCCTGAGAGAACAAAGTCAGAATCTCAAAGTTCATTTCAAAGGAAATCTAATATTTATTTCCAATATTTGTCTCTCAGAGCTCACACTCCTTTCCAAAAAAGGCTGAAAATTTGTGTCCTTGCTGTACTTTTCTGAATTTAAATATCTGTGTAATTTCCACGCACATCTACTACACAGACTGTTTTTCTGACAACTCCTCAGAGATCGCATATCAATTAGATGATCTATGCACCACCTATTAGTGATGCTCCCATTATTTTCAGAGTATAAGTTGCAGTTCTTTTTGAAGTTAGGCTCCCTTTTATGTAACTTTATGGTCTTAGTTTTAAAAATCAAGTAAGATTTTCACAGTTGTAAACGGAATGGCTCTCACTCATCTCGGGCATCGAAGCTTAGATTTGCCCAAACTATCTTTCAGGAGTATTGAATCCACACCTATTGCCCAACTCACGTAAATGCTGGAATGTTAACACTGCAGACTAAAATGAAGTTTGAGAATCAAATGAAGTGTTAAATGGAGTATAAAATTGAAGCAGCCTGTTTTAGAGTGTGGGTTTGCCTGAGGCTTTGTACACTATCAGGAAAGCTCAGACTCTGGGTACTTTTCAGTTTGTCAGGAATTACAGAATCCTGTCTGAGAAATTGTAAATGAAAGAGAGAGAAGGTAAGAATAAGAAACTCTCAAAACATAATCCTCTGATTCAATGGTATTTTTCATTTGTCTTGTCAATTTATAAATATTCTTTAAAAGTTTACAAATGCATATTTCAAATAAGAACCATCCAAATTATAAATTCTTACTGATTCTGGTTAAATGAATTATCTTAATTACTATTTAGCTCTTTATTTATTGAAGCTAATCCTACTGTTGATATGGATAAAACTGATCATTGTCTGAACATAACAAGCTTATTAAAATTTTGTAAATCAAAATCAGATATGGCCAGATGTGGTGGCTCATGCCTGTAATCCTAGCACTTTTGGAGGCCGAGACGGGAGGATCACTTGAGGCCAGGAGTTCGTAACCAGCCTGACCAACATAGTGAGAGAAACCTTGTCTCTATTTAAAAGAAAATATAAACAGATATGAAAGACAAAAAAGGAAAATAGAATAATTATTTACAATAAAACATGAAAATCTAAATTAATATATATGTATAAACTGTCTACCCACAACTTAAGATTCTTTAGGTTTTTAACTTTTTTTTAATATTCATGAAAAGATATGTTACTCTCCCTTTCAAAAAAAGACAAAAAATGACTATTCTGTTTAATTCCTTTGAAGTAGCAAAGCTATCCATGGAGATTGCTACTATACGTGTTAAATGCAATCTCAACCGCATATTAACATATCTGTTCATAACCTTTGACTGCATTGACATGTAGTTTATGATGTATCTTTTTCTGTCCATTCAGACAAGTACCACAAGGCTTTTTTTAATGTTGAGTTAATGCTCAAAAATTATATTCTGAACATGATTCCTTCCAAGCTTAGCTAGTCCTAATGACTGTAATAATGAAAAACAGTAGTAAACAAAACCTGAGACATTGGCAGTGGGGATCAGAAAAGACATATTTCAAGATATTGTTTTCTCTATTTAAAATGTGGTAATTTGTCCTCTAATGGACATTTTATGAGGCGGAGTCTCAAACACTTATAGAGTTTGAGACCATGATAGCTTTCCTAATTACTCTGCTAATGGTAGCAGCATAATAGAGCTGTTGCTTATAGGCACATATTGAGTAGAGTGAAGAAAAATCATCTCAGAGCTGACAAGCTCTGAGACGAGTTCTACATTACAGTACATCTTGGGGAATATAATAACAACAACAAACTTAGATCATTAGCTGTTTTTAGCAGTCTGTCATTATACTAGTTTTGTATGCTTCCAGGAAAGCAGGGTGAATTATCACAGTGGTGTACAGGTTCTTTTTCACTACTTGAATCTACTCTGCGATATATTTCAGAATGAATCCAGGAAGAAAAAATTTTTGTAAGTATTTACAAGAACTAAGGTGTGCCTACTGTATAACAGCCCTAACTTGCCCAAACTGAAAAATGTGGATAGATTTCAGAAACCATTCCTCTTTTTCAACAGATAATGAATCACAGGGTTATTTTTAAGGGAGTATACTTTTAAATTAATATACAGTTAATATACTAATCATAAACTACCTGAAAAAAAGACTGGCTGGGTTGCAAAGAAACTTAGATTTCTGTTTTGGTGTCTCTTATTTACTGATGGTCAACCGGAAATCAAGACCATATATATTAATCAAACTGTAAAATATCAAGTAATATCAGAAAAAATATAGGTCGTGATAGTATAGCAGATTAGATACTCTCAATGACCCTCTGAACTGGAATGCTAATCTAGGTAGGAGATTTTACAACATATCTTTTTAAATAAATGTAAGAGCTAACATAACATTAAGAAATCTGTAGATCCTCCAAACAAAGTGAAAGCAGGAACACTCAAGAAAGAAAGCTTTAAAGACCAACGATCATACTGAGAATTCTTTCAAAACCTGGAAAGCTTTATCCTCTGCTTTGAGAGCCCTGAGTTCATTGGAAGTAAGAAATGAACCTAGGACCTTCCCAATCTGGGTAACTTATGGGAATCATATGCATAACAGTAAGTAAAAGGTTCTAGTCATAAGACAAATCATATTATATATTATATATTTAAGGAAATAATGCGTCCAATTTTATACCAAATGATCCTGAGAATAATAAAATAATAAATTTTCCTCAACTCATTTTATGGGGCAAACAAAAATTAGGTAAATTTTATAATAAATACCATGCAAGAAATTAAAATCACAGATTCACTTGCAAAATTTCTAATGATAATATAAAAATATTGAATGAAGAAGTTATAAAAAAGGTATACTTGTTGGTTTTAATTCCAGAATTTAAGTTTGCTTTAGTGTAAAAAAATTGTTTAAAGTAATTCATTGCATTAAAAAAGGGAGAATAAAATATAATAAACTCAATAAATTTTAAAATATTTTGAATTATATAAACACATGTTCATGATTTAGAAAAAAATTAGCAAATTAGAAATACTATGAAAATTCCATAAATTCATAAAGTCCATGTATTCCTGTACACAATGATCCTATCAGTAAATATTATATTTAATGGTAAAATATTGAAAGTATTTCTTTATAATCCAAAACAAATCAAGGATGTCCATAGTCACTACTTCTATTTCGTATTATATTAGAGAATCTTAAGAGTTTGTAAGGAATAAAGGTAAGTTCTTTTAAGAAAAAAGTTACGTTTTTATTATTTTCACGTGATGTAGAAAACTAAAAAAAAACACATAGACAAATTTATGGAATTAATACGAATTTTTTTAAGTTACTAAATGCAAAAATCAACATGTAAAAATCATTTTCTAACCAGCTAAAGTTAGAATTTATACTTAAGTAAATAAGAATCATTATACATATCAAAAATATGATAACATGCCTAGAAAAATATATATTTTATGAAAATAAATTACAAAACTTCATTGAAAATACCTGAAGAAGAGCTAAATATTTATAATTATATACCTCATTATTGGGTAGAAATAAAGAATAAATATTGTGTAGTCATCAACTTGCCTTAAATTGATTAATAGAGTCAATGGAATTCTAGTCTTTTAAATCCCAAAAGACTTTTCATGGATTTTGACAACCTGATTCTACAATATGTAAATAAGTTCAGAGAGTGAAATGAAACAAATACTCTACAGGAAAAAAAAAAAAAGAGAGACAAGTCCTACTGATTTCAAGATTTATAATAAAGATATAGTGATTACATCTAAGTGAAATTATTGTATAGATAAATTAAAAAGTTCAATGAAACAAAAAAGAATATACAAATACCAACCCAAATTCTTATAAGTACGGATAAATGATAGAGATCGTGTAGATCAGTGCAAAAGGATAGCACTGGGATGAAAAAAAATCATTTTTATGTAATTTGAAGATTTTAGTGGAAAAAACAAAACCCATAGCACATCGAGAAGACACTATAGAAGAACAAATTGATACATGTGCAATAGAGATATTGGGAAGAATTTCTTAAATCTGGGAAAGAGTACAAATCATACCTGGAGCAATTGATAAATTCAACAGCAGTAAATTTAGGAACTTCTAATAATCAAGAGACACTAAAGTGGGAGTAGAAATAGAAGTTATAAAAAAGGAGAAGACATTAGCAAAAGTTATGATTGATGAAAGTAACATCTATAACATAAATAATTCTTATGAATGAATAAATTTGAAAAAATACCATTAAACAGATTGCAAAATTGAAGAAAAAATATATTATCAGGCATTTTATGGAGGGGTCAGAATATGTTAGAATGGTGAAAGATCAGTTTGAAAAACACCAGTAATTCAATAAAAACATCACAGAAATATGGTAAGAAAAAAAGAGAAAACAGCAGGAAATGGGACTCTATAATTTTTTAGTGGACTGAGCTTTAATGCAGGGGTCCCTACCCTTGGGTCGCACAGCAGGAGGTGAGCAACAGGCCAGTGAGCATTACTGCCTGAGCTCTGGCTCCTGTCATATCAGTGGTGGTTTTAGATTGTCCTAAGAGCGGGGACCCTATTTTGAACTGCACATGCAAGGGATCTAGGTCACGCTCCTTATGAGAATACAATGCCTGATGATGTGAGATGGAACAGTTTCATCCCGAAACCAACCACCCACACCCTCCCTACAGTCCCCACCCCTGCCTCCGCCATGGAAAATTTGTCTTCCATGAAACAGGTTCCTGGTGTCAAAAAGGTTGGGGACCACTGCTTTTAATACACGGTATAAGAAAAGCAGGTTTGGAAAAAAGTGGTAAGCTGTTAGTTTTAGTGATGACTAAGGTTCCTGGACAGAAGCAGGAGAGAAGAGTAAACAGCTTCCAGACAGGTTGATGAATGAATAAAATGGAGTCATCAGGCAATAACAGAAATCTAGGAGAATGGGACACCCTATGCTTTCTCTTAAGGTTAGTTCCCATTGGGAAAGATATGTAGACAAATCAGGGGACAGGTTTGCTAGAGAGAAAATATCATTTCCTCTTCAGTTAAATGTGTAGGGAGAGTATGCTTTAATGACCAAAACAAACAAACAAATAAACAAAAAACACCTCACTATTTAGGCAGTATTCACTATCCTGAGGTATTCTGCTAATTCCATGCATCATAATCACCTGTGGTGTATTTGTGGAATCTCTCTGGGGTCTATTCAATCAGTATTGCTGAGGGAGGACACCCTGTTTCAAATGTGTTGGCAAGTTGAGATTTCAGCATCTGTCATGATTCATTTCCAATGCATAAGTTTTGGCTCAGTATACAAACCAACTAGAACAAATGTTCTTGGGAGTTTTCTGACAAAAAGAGGAAATTCTGTAATAATGAGGACTACATAACTCAGAAAGACTGTCTGCATATGCACACACACACATACATACATACATGTGTACATACACATTGTGCATTAATTTTACATGGATGGCCTTGTATTTATGTGTGTGTGTGTGGGAGGTGTTAACTTTTACACTTAACTAATTTGTTATTGAGCCTGGATTCTTATACTTTCCAAATCGTTGTTTCAAATTGTTTGTGAATTTTCTAAAAATATAATAGGTTATATGCTTATTTGGCAAGTGATTTTCTTCTTCCTCAAGTACGTGAGAATATACACAGCTCTTCAGAATACTGAGTTAATTTCTCTACATCTCTCTATAAATTAAATTTGGGTGACTGATATATAAGGAAAGTTCTAACAGAAAGCGTAAATTCACATAGTGAGTAGATGTCCCAAGCAGTGATAATAACTTAGCAGCTTTAAAATAATTTGTTTTGTTACTTAGGTACATATCTATATATAGAAATGTTAACATACATCAGTCACACACACCCCCTTGCCCACCAACCCACCCACCACATACACCCTTCTAGTTTGTGGAATTCGTCATCATTCTACCAGTTATAATAGTTTCTTAAACTTTGTATAGGAGATAATAGCTTCTTAATTACCTCCTATATTAAGACACTTGACAAATCAAAGGCAAGCAGTAATAATAAATGGCCATTGCCTGACCAAAGTCTAGGTAAGAGGTGTTTCATTCATTTTTCTTTTAGAGCAGGCATAGTAAGATGTTGAAATGACACTTGTTTTGGAATCATATTACCCAGAATTTAAATCTTTGTTCAACCACTTACTCTTGTGTAAAAAAATTAAGTCATTGATTTATTTTAGTATTATTTTTCTAATTATAAAATGAGAGTAATAAAAACTATCTCACTCTAAGTTGAAATAAACTTACACATCATATGATACATGCACTATGCCAGGAACATTCTTTCACAGTTTTTCATTCAACTTTGAAATCAGTATCACCAGGCACAGTGCAACAATCTGCTTGGGCTTATAAAAATGAATAAACAAGATTTCTGCCTTCGTTTTTCACAGTTTCATAGTCTCATAGGGGAGACAGAGACACACAGCACATCGCTTTAATAGAGTGTTGTTAAGTACACAGTAAAGATATGTTCGGAGTATTTTGGGAGTTGAAACAAGAAATAAGCTACATCTCAAAGTATATAATGCATTAGACAGGCTGGGGGGAGAAGGAATTGTGAGTAGAAAAATCCATCCAAGTAAAGCAAAAAAGAGGGAAAGCATAAAACTTCCTTTTTCTTTAATGTCCTTAACTGTCCAACCTCATCTTGCCTTCTAATTCTTAGACTGAATTCTTATTTTAAAATAAGACATGATAGGCCAGGCGCAGAAGCTCACACCTGTAATCCCAATACTTTGGGAGGCCGAGGTGGGCGGGCAGATTACTTGAGATCAGGAGTTCAAGACCAGCCTGGCCGGTATGGTAAAACCACGTCTCTACTAACAATACGAAAAATTAGCCGGGTGTGGTGGTGTGTGTCCGTAGGCAGGAGAATCGCTTGAACCCAGGAGGCAGGGGTTGCAGTGAGCCGAGATCGCGTCACTGCACTACAGCCTGGGTGACAGAATGAGACACCATCTCAAAATAAAATAAAATAAATAAGAAAATAAAATTAAATAAATATAAATATAAATAAATAAAAATAAAATAAGGCACAATAAAAATATTCAACTTTGAACTCTGGAATGAGTTATTATGAAAGGCAACGTAAGAATTTAATATGTCATTTCAACTTAACCATATTCTAAAAAAAAATCTTAGTTGTTTTGTTTTCAATCCTGATTGTTCTTTTCTTCACTTTCAGATTGAAATATTCAAAACATTATTTCATTTAGTCCTCTAATTGGCATAAGCTTCTGGATAATTATTAAGTTCCCTACTATTCTTATGTGCTACTCTTGTATAAGGAATGGTATATAGAAAAAACACATAGGTATATTTATTTCCTCAAACTCGTGGCTTATTTTCGTTCTCTGTTTCAGGCAGCAGGTGTTATTACTGCATAATAAGTCTAGATAAATTCTTTATTCTAGATAAATACCATATGTCACTCCTGTCTAAATGGTAGGTTTTTATCCATGTTTTCTCTTAGAAAACATTTTATAAGAGATGCTTAGTTCATATTTGCAAAATTAGTGAATGAAAATTTGCATCTCTTGTGGGAAAATGTTTGATAGGCAATTTAGAAAGGTCAGTTTCGGGAAGCTGCTTGGAGATGGGGAGGTCTGAGCTTTAGAAAAAGCCTTCCCAGGTGAGGAAGGTAGAGGCCAGAGTACCAAGACCTAGTACCACAGTGTTTGGGAAAGGTAGGAAGAGGACAATGCTGATGAGTACAGGAGTGACCACTGCTTCAATCTGTCTGATCCTGACACTCAAAATAATCTATTTCCTTCCCAGTTGCTGTCCCGTATTTGCTGGAAGCTACAAACAATAAATTGTGTGGTCCACTAGTCTTTTTAATTAAATATGAAAATGTTGATAGCAAAATAGCAAATTTTGTAAAGCACCTTTGCAATGTTTATTTTTGTTCATTGCTCATAGCCCTTTCTCTTTTCAATTTAAGAACATATCTGATTAGAGAAGATGTAAAACTACCCTTTTTCAACCATCAGAGAAAAAAATCCTTTTTTTCTCTATGGCAAAAAGTAATAAGTTAATTCATGAAGGTACCTGAAAATGTAATTGGAGAAATTATTTTTAAAATATTTTTAATTAGATTTTTCTTTTTGTCTTTTTTAAAATTCAACTTATATTTTAGAAACAGGAGGTTCATGGGTAGGTTTGTTGCATGGATATATTGCATCCAGGTATGAAACATAGTAACCAACAGGAAGTTTTTCACCCCCTGCCCACCTCTCTCCCTTTCCTCTCTATTAGTGACCAGTGTCTGTTCCCATGTTTATGTCCATGTGTGCTCAGTGTTCAGCTCCCACTTATGAATGAAAACATGTGGTATTTGGTTTTCTGTTCTTGTGTTAATTTGCTTAGGATTATGGCCTCCAGAGCCATCCATATCACCGTGAAGCACATGATTTCATTCTTTTTTATGGCTGCACAGTGTTCCATGGTGTACGTGTACCATATTTTCTTTATTCACTCTACCACTGATGGGCACCTAGGTTGATTCCACATCTTTCTTATTGTGAATAGTATAGCAATGAACATGTGAGTGCATGGGTCTTTTTAATATAATGATCTATTTTCCTTTGGGTACATACTCAGTAGTGGGATTGTAGAGTAGAATGGGGTTCTAAGCTCTTTGAGAAATCTCCACACTGCTTTCCACAGTGGCTGAACAAACTTGCATTCTCACCAACAGTGTATAAGCATTCCCTTTTCTCTGCAGTGTCATCAGCATCTGTTGTTTTTTTATTTTTTTAACAATAGCCATTCTGACTGGTGTGAGATGGTACCTCACTGTGGTTTTGATTTACATTTCTCTGATAATTAGTGATGGTGGACATTTTTTTCAAGTTCATTGGCTGCTTGTAAGTCTTCTTTTGCGAAGTGTCTGTTCATATCCTTTGCCCATTTTTTAAATGGAGTTATTTGGTTTTTTTTTTCATTTTGTTTTGTTTAAGTTCCTTACAGATTCTGGATATTAGACCGTTGCCAGATGCATAGTTTGTGAATATTTTCTCCCATTTGGTAGGTTGTCGGTCTACTGTATGATATTTTCTTTTTCTGTGCAGACACTCTTTAGTTTAATTAGGTCTCATTGTCAATTGTTTTGTTTTTGTTCCAATTGCTTTTGGGGACTTAGTCACAAACTCTTTGCCAAAGCCAATGTTCAGAAGGGTATTTCCAAGGTTTTCTTCTAGGGTTGTTATAGGATTTGAGGCCTTGCACTTAAATGTTTTATTCATCTTGAGTTAATTTTTGTATATGGTAAAAGGTAAGGGGTCAGGTTCATTCTTGTGCATATGGCTAGCCAGTTATAACCCAGGACCATTTATTGAATAGAGGTTCCTTTCCTCATTGCTTGTTTTTGTCAGGCTTGTGAAAGATCTGATAGTTGTAACTGTTCAACTTTATTTCCAAGTTTTTTATTCTGCTCCATTGGTCTATGTGTCTTATTTTTATACCAGTATCATGCTGTTTTGGTTACTATAGCCTTATAGTGTAGTTTGACACTGGGAAATGTGATGTCTGCAGCTTTGTTCATTTTGCTTAGGATTGCTTTGTCTATTTGGGCTCTTTTTTGGTTCCAGATGAATTTTAGAATTTTTTTTTCTAACTGTGAAAAATGATATTGGTAGTTTGATAGGAATAGCATTGAATCTGTAAAATCACTTTGGACAGTATGGCCATTGTAACAATATTAATTCTTCCAATCCACGAACATAAAATGTTTTCCCTTTTCTTTGTTTTGTCTGTGGTTTTTTTCAGCTGTGTCTTGCAGTTCTACTTGTAGAGATCTTTCACCTCCTTGGTTAGCTGTATTTCTAGATGTTTTATTTTATTTTTAGCTATTGTAAATGGGATCATGTTCTTGATTTGCCTCTCAGCCTGAACATTATTGGTGTATAGAAATGCTACAGATTTTTGTATGTTGCTTTTGTATCCTGAAACCTTACTAAAATCTTTTATCCATTCTAGCAGCATTTTGATGGGGTCATTAGGATTTTTCTAGGTATGGAGTCAAATGTTTAGTGAAGAGAGTTAGTTTGACTTATTTTCCTATTTGAATGCCTTTTTTTTTCTTTCTCTTGCCTGATTGCTCTGTCTAGGACTTCTAATACTATGTTAAATAGGAGGGGCGAGAGTGGGCATCCTTGTGGTTTTCCAGTTCTCAAAGGTAATGTTTCCAGCTTTTGCCCATTCCATATGGTGTTGGCTGCAGGTTTGTCATAGATTGTTCTTATTTTGGGGTAGGTTCCTTCAATGTCCGGTTGGTTGATTGTGGTTATCATGAAGAGATGTTGGATTATGTTGAAAGCTTTTTCTGAATCTATTGAGGTGATCATACGGTTTTTGCTTTTAATTCTGTTTATGTGGTGAATCACATTTATTGATTTGCATATGTTGGACCAGCCTTGGATTCCAGGAATTAATCCTACTTAATCATGGTGTATTAAGTTTTTGATGTCTGCTGGATTTTAAGTAGATTTTGTCTCCCATCTAATCTACTTTTATTTCTTTCCATAATAGTAAGAAAAAATGAGATCTTGATATCTAGTCACTATTAAAATTTTTCACTTCAGTAATGAATTCTGGTATATTTCCAGAGATGGCTAGGTTTCAACTTGCAAACACTATGCCAACTGTGTATTAGATTCAATTTTAGTGACTTATAATTCCAAAATCTTAGGTCACTGACACATCAAAACTTCTTATAGTTTTTTATATTAAAAATTTGTTTTATGTTTGTTTTACATAAGTAACAATTAAATATATATTCACTATAAAATGTTCAAGAACTGTAGAAGAATTTAATACAGTAAAAGGTGAACATACTCTTCATCACCAGTCCTCCATATATGCTAATTTCCTTGAAAGCAACCATTGTCAACAATATGAACTATATGTTAAAGTCCTAATATTTTAAGATGGCAATTTACTGAAATCACTTTGGATATGTTGAGAATTAATCCATATTATCTCATAAATCTGTATGTTAAAAATATTTTGGTATGTGATTTTGTGTGTATGTATTTGTGTTTTTGTGTACATATGTGGGGTTGGTGGGAGTGAGAAGGCTGGAGTCAGATATTACTATGTTTGAATTCAAGCTCCACCACTTAGTGTCTAGCAGAATTTGAGCAAATCATTTATTCTCTCTAAGCTTGTAAGTAAAATGATATAGTACATAACTCAACGGGTAACTGTGAGAGTAAAGTGACTAAAGCAGTACTAATAATTGTAATTAATACAAATAGCACAGAAGTAGTAATTACTTTATTACTTTTGTGATACTTAATTGATACTTTGAGGGAGAGTTATAACAATGAAATGCTTTCAGTGCACGACAACAATACGCAAGCTAGCACATAGTTATTCAGTTGTTCCATAATCAATTTCAGACACAATAAAAAGGATTAAACTTGAAGTTTGCTTTATTTTTTTAAGGATGAGTGAGACATGACAATTGGACAACTATATTTCAATTGTGTCTGGGACACCAATATATTTTTAGGCATTGATTTCTGTGGAACCTGTCTCATACTTTCTTCCTCCATTCCCCCAAAGGAAATCCCAAAAACCTCTATTCATTGTCCAACTTGTTTTAGATACTGCAATCCTATTTCTTAAATTTAGATGTTTTATTTGTATTTGCCCAAACAAGAAGGCAGGAAGTCATAACCATTTTTGAAACATATTGTTTGACATTTTTTGAATAAGAAAAACATGCATTTGAATAAATATGAAAAGGGACATTGTTATAGGCTACTTTACTGTAGGAAACCAAAGACAACTTTTCCTCTCCCACCACCTTATTTGGAAAACCACTCCACAAAAGCACCTAACATGAATTTTGTGTAATGTGAAATAAAAAGTTGATAAAAAGGACAAATTGGTTTTTATAATCCTAGTTTGGCTAACCTGCACTTAATTTTGCTGACATACACTTCTCTTAAATGTCAAAAATTAATTGAAAGTTTAATTTAGTTAACACAATAATTACATGAAACAATTATCTGAAATTGCAATGCTGTTCACTAAGGTAAATGCTTCAATGACACATCTAAGGATTCATCTTTAGAGGTTCAACATTAAAGATAGATATATGGATAGATAGATAATAGTTAGATAAACAGAGAAAAGTAGATATATGTATATCTTTAACAATGCCTATACATATGTATATATGTGTGTGTGTATGTGTATACATTTCTTTCTTTTTTTGTTTCTCCCCTCTGTCTCTCCTTCTCCTACCCTCCCCCTCCCTGCCTTCCTTTATTCTTCCTTCCTTTTGAAATGGGAAAAGTTCCTCTGTCCTCCTCACAGTGCATGCGATGGTAGTGCAGCTTGCATCTGTGGTGCCCCGCTGCTCAAACCTCTAGGGGAAGCAACCAGGCTGTAGGGTTCCAACCCCATGGCAGCATCTAGGGGTAAATGTTAACAGCTGAAGCCCCAGTGGGCATGTGTTAGAATGTGCTCTTTCAGTTTAGCCATCTATAGGCGGCTTGTGTTAGTCATCTCAATTAGATCCTCTGCCTTATTGCAAGAACAGAGGTGGTTTTCCCCTGGAGTAGGCCGCTTAGTGGCTGGGGTCTCCTCTGACCACCTTGGCCAGACTCTGTGTGGTTCTGCTGGTCGATGACCTGCCTGCATCTGCCAGTACCTGTCAGTGTGCTTTTCTGCCAGTGTGTTCCTCTTGATGTTCAACCACTCGCGTGTTCTTCCTCTGATGTGTTCCTCTCGACCTCCAGCTGCTTGTGAATCTCTGCCCGCAAGGGTCTCAGGGTTTTTACAGGTACAGGATGGGGTGTGGCAAGCCAGGTTGGTCTTAGGAAATGCAACATTTAGGAACAAAAACAGAAATGCCTGTCCTCACCTAGGTCCATGGGCACAGGCCCATGGGAGCCCTCACGAGGGACCTGCCTTTCTCTACCCATGCTCCCCTCCTGTGTCATCTCCCCCCTCTGAAGAGGTACATCTAACTGCTGTTAAAATATGGATGATGACTAGTCTTAAGCTACTTCCTGGTGACAGGGGGTGTTGTTTTGGGGAGAACAGCAGTGAGATTCCTCCCAGGGGTCTATCTAAGGGTTTCTAGCAAACAGGAGCTATCATCCAAGGCTCCAATTGCCTGGCCATTTGGAGTTTTATGGCTTCTAGGCATGAGAAGAAAAAAAAAAAGTTTTATAAGGTTAAGTATGCATGAGTTAAACATGTGTATTATACAAGGAAAGAATTTAGTGCCAAAGATTACAGAGACAAGAAGTGAAATATAGTAACAGCAACATTGTACCCTGAGGTGTTTCACCCTGGTGAAAGGTATTAAACCTTCTATGGGAGTGGTTAAACTTTAGAAGACAGCTAACTGTTTTTGCCGTATCTTTAGCAGTTAATAGGTGCACCCTGTTTGAGGGCTTGCAGGATGGTCGTTAAAGCTTCTGCCTCTTTCTTGGGTCTGCATTTCTCTATTGTACAAAACTGAAGTGGCCACTTCAGGAGGCTCTCTAATGTATATCTGGTCCCAGGGCCATTTCTGGAACTTCCTCCTGATATGAGGGGCTGCCTGAGTAATGCATGTATCCTTTAGGATTAGCTGTTTCTTGACTGAATCACGAGATAGAGAGGTGTGTTTTACCAAGGCCTCTCTTAGCTTTTCCAGGAAGGCAGTGGGGTTTTCAGCAAATCCCTGGTCGATAATGAACAACTTAGCCTAACTGAGTGGCTTGGTCTTAGTCCTGTGCAAGCCCTCCATTATAAACACCTGAAAGTGTCTTCCTTCTTGTCACTGGGATCCCATTTAGAGTCATTCACTGGTTCTGCTTATCTTCCAGTTGCATAATATTTGCCCCCTTCCCTGATGCTATATGTGATGCAAAGTGCATCCCCAAATCTCTCTGCTGCTTGCAGAGTGTACTGCTTCTCATTGTCCATCAGGGTCTGATTCAAAAATGACATAACGTCTCCCCAGGAGATTTCAAATATTTGGGTGAAATTCCAGAATTTCACCCAATATATCTATCCCTATATCTATTATAGAGATATATCTCTATGTCTATATATATATATATATCATAGAGATACATCTCTATATCTATCACAATATATCGTCTCTGTATCTATCATGGTCATCCGGAAACTTACCAAGATCCCCCTTGATTTGCTTTAAGTACTATTGGGAGAAGAGGACCTGGAACTTACTGGTCCCAAATTTACTGGGCATCTGTTGGAGGGGCAAGAGTGAGACTGGGGCTTCTTTAGGGTGAGGATTTCTAGGAGGGGGCAAGTGAGAAGCTGAAAGTGGATAGGGAAGTCAGGGTGGACCCAGAGGAGCAGGGCTGGTGGGAGCTGGCTTCTCAACTGGGAGTGCCTCGGATTTGTATCTTTAATTCCCTGGGCTTGCCCCTTGCAGCCTTCCCTGAGACAGCAAACAGGAGGGCTGGGTCAATCTTACACTGTTGGCAAAGGTCTGGATTGCCTTGCAAAGTATAGAAAGCCTGCACATATGGGGCCTCAGACCATCTGTCTTCACATGTATAGAAAAGTTCCAGCTGCCAAAGGGTCTCAAAATGAATGGTTCCTTCCTGAGGCCAAGCAATTCCTTGCTGTAAATCATAATTGGCCAAACCTTTGTGCAGAAGGCTATGAGGAGTTTTTCCTTCAGATTTTGAGGGTCAAAACAGTCCCAGTGGTTCAGGACACACTCCGGAGGAGTATAAGCTGGGGGTGGTGAAGAGAACTGGTTACTGATTCTGAAAGACAGGGAATAGAGGCGTCCCTCATTTCCTTCTTTCTTTCAGTGAAAACCCAGGGTGTGATAAAGAGATAAAGCAAGCGTCCTCCCTATCCCTTCCACCTGGCATCCCTGAGGCCTGGCAACCTTGGCAGGTGCTGGCCATAAGTACTGATGTGATACGTACCCATGAAGCAGGGAAAACCTGGAGAATAGGAATTGACCGGCCTCACCTATGCCTCCTGTTTTTCCTGCTGCCAACAACCTGTGAGTTCCCTGGGCCTGTTTATGCCATGAAGCAAGGCCTCCTTCTGTGGGGTTGGGGGTGGGGTTTAATCGGCAAGAATTGGTCTTGCCCATTTATATTGTGCCTGTGGCCTGGCTTTGGATGCCTCAGACCTGGTTGTTCTTTCTAGGGCCTTACCCTTAAAAAGAAGCTTGGAATCGAGCTTCGGATTGAAAAGGTATTTTAGGGGCTGTTTTTATCCATTTAGAGTGTCTCAAATAAGCCCTGACGAATTTGCAGTTATCAGCCAGCAGGGGTCACTCCTGCATTAATTTCCCAATCAGAAACAGTGCTGGGAGTGGGGAGCCCCCTCACTTAGAAAAGGAAAAACAGGCCCGGGGCGGTGGCTCAGGCCTGTAATCCCAGCACTTTGGGAGGCCGAGGCGGGCGAATCACGAGGTCCGGAGATCGAGACCATCCTGGCAAACACGATGAAACCCCGTCTTTACTAAAAATACAAAAAATTAGCCGGGCGTGGTGGCAGGTGCCTGTAGTCCCAGCTACTTGGGAGGCTGAGGCAGGAGAACGGCGTGAACCCACGAGGCAGAGCTTGCAGTGAGCCGAGATCGCACCACTGCACTCCAGCCCAGACGACAGAGTGAGACTCCGTCTCAAAAAAATAAAATAATAAAATAAAATAAATTAAAAAATACAGTTTAAAGAGCAAAAGGGGGAGATCCTGGGGAAAGAGCCTCTTCCTCAGTGCAAGTGAGTCCCTCTAATCCTTACATCCTTCCCCCAGTGGAGAAACATTCTGTTGGCCTGGTGGGTGAGAAGAGCCCGTCTATTGGCCCTTTGGGGTTGTGGCTACCACCAGGGCTTTCTCCCTCTCCCCCTCGTGGCTGCTGGGTGCGAGCTTTGCAAGTTGTGCACAAGCCCAGGCACCTGAACTGGGAAGGGAAAGGGAAAGGTGAGATGCCCTGAGTCATGCATGCCTGCGGCTGTTGGGGTGGAGGCATAGGTGGCACCTCTAGGCATAGGTGGTCTGATTTGCACCCTTGGCTGCTGAGCGAAATGCTCATTTTACCTAGTAACATTGCCACAGCCTGTAGCAAATCCCTTAACATTGTAAAGGAAGAGATAAAAGCCATTTCAAACCATAAAAGAGAGAAAAGAGGTGAAGTCTGGGAGTTTTTACCAGACCGGTTAGGATGGTTTAAAACTTCGTGAAGGGAAAGAGAGCCTCTTACCTGCAGGAAAAAGAGAGAAGTGCCAGGGTTTTACAACAGAGACTGATTCTATAGTTTCACATTTGTATTCACCTTCCAGGATCCCGGATGAGACCCAGTCGAAACAGGAAAAGTTGCCTCATCCCCATCACAGGGCATGTGATGGGATGTGGCTCACTTATTTGGTGCCCCACTGTTCAAACCTCTAGGGGAGCATGCAGATGGGCAGGCTGTGGGGCTCTGACCCCAAAGCAGCATCTAGGGGTGAATGTTTACAGCTGAAGTCCCAATGGGCGTGTGTTAGAGTGTGCTCTTTCAGTTTAGCCATTTATAGGCAGCTTGTGTTAGTGAATTCAATTAGACCCTCTGTCTTATTGCAAGGTCAGAGAGCTTTCTGTTCCCCAGGATTTCTTGTCTTGGTGTACCAGAAGAATCAGGCCACACATGGGCTTGGAGAATGAGCGCAAGGTTTTGTTGAGTGAAAGTAGCTCTCAGCAGATTGGGAAGCCAGAAGGGAGATGCAGTGGGAAGGTGGTTTTTCCCTGGAGTCGGGCTGCTCAGTGGCCGGGCTCTCCTTAGAACATCCTGGCCAAACTCTGCATTGTTCTGCTGGTCGATGGCCTGCCGGCATCTGCTGGTGCCTGTTAGTGTACTCTTCCACCGATGTGTTCTTCTCAATATTCAGCCGCTTATGCGTTCCTCTGCTGATGTGTTCCTCTCAGCATCCAGCCGCCTGTGTGTCTCTGCCCGCTAGGGTCTCAGTGTTTTTATAAGCACAGGATGAAAGCATGGTGGGCCAGGGTGGTCTTAGGAAATGCAACATTTAGGCACAAAAACAGAAATGCCTGTCGTCACTAGATCCATGGGCATAGGCCCAGGTGTGAAGCCCTCACCAAGGACCTGCCCTTCTCTACCCAGGACTTCTTTGCCCCCCTCCCATATCACTTCCTTCCTTCCTTTCCTTTCTTTCTTTCTTCCTTTTGTTTTCCTTCCTTTTTTCTTTCTCACTCCCTTTCCCTCCCTCCCTCCCCCCATCTCCTCTCCTCACACTCCTTCCTTCATCTTTCTTTTCTTTTCTTTTTTATTTCTCTTCTCTTCTCTCCTCTCCTCCTTTCCTTTCCTTTATCTCTTTCCCTCCCTCCCTTCCTTTTTCCCTCCCTCCCTCCCTTCTTTGTTTTTCTCTTCTTCTCTTTCTTTCTTTCTCCCAGCAGTGAAATGGAATTTGAGATGACATGCAGAAATTAGAGGCTTTCCATATTTGTTATGTTTGTTTTTGGCTTTCTGAGGACCAAGTTTTCCTTCGTTGTTAGTGCAATAACAATTGGCTTTTAATCATTGACTCCAAGGGAATAACAGACAATCTAATAGTGAATGACGTAAGACACACATAGTTTCTGGATATAAGTCTAGAATTTACTTTTTAAATATGATTTAGAAAAACTTATTACCCATCTCAGATTTGTTCTTTCGGGAATAGAGGTTTCAAAATTTGTTTGAACTTTTGAAATTAAGAATAGTCATCTAAGGAACCTTCCAAGAATGATTCTCGGGAGATCAAAATGGGTTATTCTTGACCCATTTCCTCTAAGTTTATATAATTATATGGATGTATTTGTTTAATAGTGTCACTGATGAACAGGTTAACATTTCAGTGGTGGCTTTCTGGAGATGCAATACACAAATACATGCTAATACATTGGTATAACATAGTGAATCTGGGGGTAGCAGGCGTTCACCTGAGACATCAAATGTTTTCAAGACAGATTACCCTTTTAACATCACTCAAACAACAGTACAAGAATGGCCACACATGATGGCTGTGCCCTAAATTTCATGCCCCTTTTTTCCTCATGTACAAAATTTCACCAATCAATGGGATATTATTATGAAGAAATGTTAGCCTTAACACAGTAGGATTATTATGAAAGACTGAAAGAAGACAGGCTATTTCAACTCATACCAATTATATTTCATATGTCACAACCATGAGTTTGGCTGAGGATCATTGAGGCATACATTGAATTAATCAGGCTGCCTTTTGCTGCTTTAAATGAAGCCTAAAGAATTTTGATTTGTTGCATGGAAAGAATAACATGGCCAGGTATACTATTTCACTGTTCTGTTTCTTGTTTTTTAGCCATCTAAAAATTTCATTTTTAGTGTTGGTGTTTGTGGACCATCACATTACCCCAGAAGCATCACTATTCAATAGAAAAAAAGCTAACAAGCCCAAAGGATTTCACCATGAATCTGTTCATTATACAAGACACAGTTCACAGATCAGGTACAAATATGGATTTCAGCCCAAAATTCCAACCGAGATCAAAGAAAAGGCATTTGTCTTTCCACATTTCACATTAAGTTTTGAGAATTGAAGTATAATACTTAAAGAAAGATTTTGCTTATCTATTCTTTTTATAACATTTTAAAAGCCCTACAGGTAGGATGAACTTGGGTTAACTTGTTAAATGCAAATATGGCATACGTTATTTGTATTTAAATGACTTTAACATCCTGTAATATTACCTAGAGGTTTGCCTCCCAAATGGCTTAAGAAGAATATTTTAATGAAGTCAGCTACCAGTAAAACTAATCTTCTTTTTTTTAAGATTGTATAAATTAGCTATATCCATTTAACTCCATGGAAACATTGATATAAAAATAGAAACATAAAATTTTGTGTTTTTGACTAATTTATTAGTATTTGAAAGTTGTGTTTTCTTTTAATCAATTTTGGAAAACTTTATTTCTTCTCGAAAATAATGTACAAATTACTTCTATGTGTAATAGGTAATCTCTTTTTTTGCTTACCAGCATCTCTATCTTCCTTTTCTGAGATTATTCTTCCTTTTATCCCCTTTCCTCCTCTATATTTGCTTCCTTCTTCATTGGCTTCCTTTTAGTAAGAAAACAGAAATAATCAAATTAGAATATGAAATTGTACCAACATGGTGAAAATGACTCCTCACTAGTATCTGTACTCATAGTATCCTCTGGCTTCTTTTCACATATAATGGATAAACAATTAAACAATTCTTACTGTCACCGAGAAGGGCAGATACCACTCCATTTGTGCTTTGGACCCCACAATGTTTCACTCAAATTAACTCTCCAGCTCCATCTGTCTTTCACTCTTTATTGGATTATCTGTTTTAGCCTAAAACAAACTTATACCATTAACCATCTTTCAAAAATCTGATTTCTTATATCCTTCTCTAGTTCTTTACATTTTCTGTTTTTCTCTTCTTAGCTAAACTTTTTTTTTTTTTTTTTTTTTTTTTTTTTTTTTTTTTTGAGACGGAGTTTTGCTCTTGTTGCCCAGGCTGGAGTGCAATGGTGCAATCTCGGCTCACCTCAACCTCTGCCTCCCAGGTTCAAGCAATTCTCCTGCCTCAGCCTCCTGAGTAGCTGGGATTACAGGCATGCACCGCCACGCCCAGCTAATTTTGTATTTTTAGTAGAGACGGGGTTTCTCCATGTTGAGGCTGGTCTTGAACTCCTGACCTCAGGTGATCCGCCCACCTCAGCCTCCCAAAGTGCTGGGATTGCAGGTGTGAGCCACTGTGCCCAGCCTAGCTAAACTATTTTTAAAATGTGTATACTTGCTATCTGCATGTCCTCAGGTCTCCTCCTATTCTTAATTCACTCCAAAGAGTCTTTCACCAGTTGACTGATAGTAAAATTGCAAAAGTCTTCCATTTTCCCAAATAAAATGATTGCCTTTCGGATCATCTTACACAGTGGCCTGGCCATTTTTAGGCATAGTTAACCACTCCCTGTCCCTTGAAATACTTTCTTTACTTAGATTCTGATACACTTTTGCATTCCCATTTTCTTTTCCCTTTCCAAGACTGGGGATCAGTCTATAATTTTTTTAATTTATAATTTTCTATCAGATTTATTCTTGTCCTATGCATTCAGTAGCTTTTATATGTTTATGTATCTCTTGGCTCATTTTTCAAATACTACTAGACCTCCTGAAGCAAAGACTCTTGTGTTGAACTTTCTAGTTGACATTGTTACTGATACAGCAGGGGTACCATCTGGGTCCTGCTGCTAGCCACACAGAAAGCTGATTAGTGAGACAATGATTTTTGCCAAGGAAGAATGGCTTAATCAGTGCTTCAGATGAGGAGAGGGAAATCAGTCTCAAATCCATCTGCCTGACCAATTGAAATTGGGGATTTATATAGCAGGGAAGAAATGAAACTATGTATGAGAAAACAGGAACTTGGGTAGAGTAAGGAAGCAATCATGACAAATGAGGGACATCTCATTGTCTGGATGCTATAATCTGATGAGTTTCAGTTTTTTGATACTTTTTGAGAGGCCCTGCGGTTACAGTTGAAGAAGGTACTCAGATAAAACAAATGTAAGTTTCAATCTTTCAGACCAGAAAGGTCAATATCTGTTTATTAAAAAAAAAAAAAAAAAAAAAGCAGACAAACAAAATCCTGTCTATGAAACTATTGGGTCAGTTACAATATCTCCTCTTAAATATTCAGTGGTTATATGAAATATAAATATTTATACTTAGCATTTATACTATTATGCTAAGCATCCCCTTTCTGCACAAAGCAAACTCACCTCACTGAATCTTCCATATGGGTCTGCAGCAACCTCAATTCTTGCCTCCTCAGAAGAAAAAGATTCAACTGAGGGGTATAAGGCAGAAAAAGAGATTGAAGCAAGTTTCAGAGCTTTAGAACAGGAAAGAAAGAAAGAAAAGTACACTTGGACAAGACCTAAGCAGGCAACTTGAAGGACAAATGTGGAATTTAAATTTGATCCTAGGACTTTATATGCTGGCCACCTCTGGTGTCTTGCACCTCCTTCCCATGATTCTTCCATTAGGGTAGGGCAAGAGTTAATTAATACTTACCTAGTTCTAGTTCTCCATAAGCTCATGCCTGGGTCATTCAAAAACTAATTAATATTTTATCAGTAATCTCCATTTGTCTTAAACCCTTTTAGGAACAATTATAGTTTTCTTAAAATACTCCAATTCTCATGTCCCTATTATTTCTAAAAGCCTATAGCAAATTCCAATGATAAGATTAAATCCAAGCAAAAATCTAGGCATATTTTACCTGTCCAACTTTAACTGCTAATCTTCTATAGCATATTGTGGGCAGCATGATGAATTGAAAAGACTTGTAGAGTTTCTGCCAAGAGATCAGCTGTTAGTCTGATGGGCTTCCCTTTGTGGATAACCCAACCTTTCTCTCTGGCTGCCCTTAACATTTTTTCCTTCATTTCAACTTTGGTGAATCTGACAATTATGTGTCTTGGAGTTGCTCTTCTCGAGGAGTGTCTTTGTGGCATTCTCTGTATTTCCTGAATTTGAATGTTGGCCTGCCTTGCTAGATTGGGGAAGTTCTCCTGGATAATATCCTGCAGAGTGTTTTCCAACTTGGTTCCATTCTCCCCATCACTTTCAGGTACACCAATCAGATGTAGATTTGGTCTTTTCACATAGTCCCATATTTCTTGGAGGCTTTGTTCGTTTCTTTTTATTCTTTTTTCTCTAAAGTTCTCTTCTCACTTCATTTCATTCATTTGATCTTCCATCACTGATACCTTTTCTTCCAGTTGATTGAATCAGCTACTGAGGCTTGTGTATTCGTCAGGTAGTTCTCGTGCCGTAGTTTTCAGCTCCATCAGGTCCTTTAAGGACTTCTCTGCATTGGTTATTCTAGTTAGCCATTCGTCTAATTTTTTTTCAAGGTTTTTAACTTCTTTGCCATGGGTTCGAACTTCCTCCTTTAGCTCAGAGTAGTTTGATCGTCTGAAGCCTTCTTCTCTCAACTCGTCAAAGTCATTCTCCATCTAGCTTTGTTCCGTTGCTGGTGAAGAGCTGTGTTCCTTTGGAGGAGGAGAGGCACTCTGACTTTTAGAGTTTCCACTTTTTCTGCTGTTTTTTCCCCATCTTTGTGGTTTTATCTACCTTTGGTCTTTGATGATGGTGGCATACAGATGGTGTTTTGGTGTGGATGTCCTTTCTGTTTGTTAGTTTTCCTTCTAACAGTCAGGACCCTCAGCTGCAAGTCTGTTGGAGTTTGCTGGAGGTCCACTCCAGACCATGTTTGCCTGGGTATTCAGCAGCGGAGGCTGCAGAACAGTGGATATTGGTGAACAGCAAATGTTGCTACCTGATCATTCCTCTGGAAGTTTTGTCTCAGAGGAGTACCTGGCAGTGTGAGGTGTCAGTCTGCCCCTACTCGGGGGTGCCTCCCAGTTAGTCTACTCAGGGGTCAGGGACCCACTTGAGGAGGCAGTCTGTCCATTCTCAGATCTCCAGCTGCGTACTGGGAGAACCACTACTCTCTTCAAAGCTGTCAGACAGGGACAGTTAAGTCTGCAGAGGTTTTGGCTGCCTTTTGTTTGGCTATGCCCTGCCCCCAGAGGTGGAGTCTACAGAGGCTGGCAGGCCTCCTTGAGCTGCGGTGGGCTCCACCCAGTTCGAGCTTCCCAGCAGCTTTGTTTACCTACTCAGGCCTGAGCAATGGCGGGCGCCCCTCCCCCAGCCTCGCTGCCGCCTTGCAGTTTGATCTCAGACTGCTGTGCTAGCAATGAGCGAGGCTTCATGGGCATGGGACCCTCCGAGCCAGGTGCGGGTTATAATCTCCTGGTGTGCCGTTTGCCAAGACCATTGGAAAAGTGCAGTATTAGGGTGGGAGTGACCCGATTTTCCAGGTGCTGTCTGTCACCCCTTTCTTTGACTAGGAAAGGAAATTCCCTGACCCCTTGTACTTCCCGGGTGAGGCGATGCCTCGCCCTGCTTCGGCTCATGCTCGGTGTGCTGCACCCACTGTCCTGCACCCACTTTCCGACACTCCCCAGTGAGATGAACCCGGTACCTCAGTTGGAAATGCAGAAATCACCCGTCTTCTGCCTCGCTCACACTGGGAGCTGTAGACTGGAGCTGTTCCTATTCGGCCATCTTGTCTCTTTGACAAACCTGACAAAAACAAGAAATGGGGAAAGGATTCCCTATTTAATAAATGGTGCTGGGAAAACTGGTTAGCCATATGTAGAAAGCTGAAACTGGATCTCTTCCTTACACCTTATACAAAAATTAATTCAAGATGGATTAAAGACTTAAATGTTAGACCTAAAACCATAAAAACCCTAGAAGAAAACCTAGGCAATACCATTCAGGACATAGGCATGGGCAAGGACTTCATGTCTAAAACACCAAAAGCAATGGCAACAAAAGCCAAAATTGACAAATGGGATCTAATTAAACTAAACAGCTTCTGCACAGCAAAAGAAACTACCATCAGAGTGAACAGGCAACCTAAAGAATGGAAGAAAATTTTTGTAATCTAGTCATCTGGCAAAGGGCTAATATCTAGAATCTACAATGAACTGAAACAAATTTACAAGAAAAAAACAACCCCAACAAAAAGTGGGTGAAGGATATGAACAGACACTTCTCAAAAGAAGACATTTATGCAGCCAAAAGACACATGAAGAAATGCTCATCATCACTGGCCATCAGAGAAATGCAAATCAAAACCACAATGAGATACCATCTCACACCAGTTAGAATGGCGATCATTAAAAAGTCAGGAAACAACAGGTGCTGGAGAGGATGTGGAGAAATAGGAACACTTTTACACTGTTGGTGGGAGTGTAAACTAGTTCAACCATTGTGGAAGTCAGTGTGGCGATTCCTCAGGGATCTAGAACTAGAAATACCATTTGACCCAGCCGTTCCATTACGGGGTATATACCCAAGGGATTATAAATCATGCTGCTATAAAGACACATGCACACATATGTTTATTGTGGCACTATTCACAATAGCAAAGACTTGGAACCAACCCAAATGTCCAACAATGATAGACTGGATTAAGAAAATGTGGCACATACACACCATGGAATACTATGCAGTCATAAAAAATGATGAGTTCATGTCCTTTGTAGGGACATGGATGAAGCTGGAAATCATCATTCTCAGCAAACTATCACAAGGACAAAAAACCAAACACCGCATGTTCTAACTCATAGGTGGGAATTGAACAACGAGAATACATGGACACAGGAAGGGGAACATCACCCACTGGGGCCTGTTGTGGGGTGGAGGGATTGGGGAGGGATAGCATTAGGAGATATAACTAATGTTAAATGACTAGTTAATGGGTGCAGCACACCAACATGGCACATGTATACATATGTAACTAACCTGCACATTGTGCACCTGTACCCTAAAACTTAAAGTATAATAAAAAAAAAAAGAAAAGACTTAAGCTAACTAGCTGAATTATTTTAAACAATTCCTATGACATGAGATGTAAGGTTGACTAAACTGTTTCCAAAACAACTTGAATTTGAAACTTCTATTATTCTTGTCTTCTTGCCATAGCAATGTTAAGACCTGCAGATGCTGCTCATTTCTTCTTTCGCAATCTTATTTGTATTTCAAATTACATAAGCTTCACAAAGCCTCCCCCATTTATGAAATGTCATAGCACCTGTTGCTTTTACAGATATTAGGGAATTACAATTATATTTTAATATCTCATATTGCTTTGCCTTTTGTAGGTAAGATTAAATTTCTTCAAAAATGGTAGGTTCCTTGAGAAAGGCAATCTTGATATATATTTTTTTCTATGTCCTGTCTTGACCAAATAGTAGAAGATTATAAACTTCTGTTCAATTGAATCCTCTTTTGCTTTGGTCTGTTACTCACCTTTCCACTGACAGCTTGCAACTGGAAAAGATATCTTGCTCTTATTACCAATGTTTCCAGGTAGAGCCTTTGGGTCAAAGGTTCTAGATGCTGCTGTAATTGAAACTTTGGTGTCTCTGAACCATAGTCCCTAAAAAAATAGCCTCTTCCAAAACCCTCACTCAAAAGAGACATCCATTTTATAACCATAACCACATAGAAAATCAACTGAAGGAGTTGAGTCTCTTTTGAAAAACCTACCTTATTATGTACCATGTTATAATTTCTTGGTATTGGAAGTAACTATTGGTTTTAGACATACATATAAATAACCAGATTTTTAAAGCGTGATTTTAGTTATTTAAGTTACATCAATATGCATCAAACTTATAAATTGCTATCATATGTTATAAATTTTACAACTGTAATAAATGCGTTTTCATGCCTTCTACCAGTAACAATCAAGTAGCTTTCAAAGAAGACCTGTGTATAAAAGATGCTGAGATACTAAACGTTTTTAAAGGATAGAGACATATAAAAGAAATTCAGTGGCTCACCAGCATTTTGTGTAATTATCTGTCTAAATTACTAATTTTATTTCAAATTTGATATTCTTACCTAATCATTGAATGTTTTCACGGTTGACTACTTTGCAGTGTACAATGTGCTTGACTTAAAATGCATAAAATACTGTTTGAACCATTATGCACTCAACTTACTGAACCAAATAGTGAAATGCTTTAATTTTTACCCATTTTACAAATGTAGCCACAAACTGTATTGATCAATCAGCATACTTCAGTGATTCAGCTTTATGTGCATTGCTGAATGAGCCATATACTTTACAAGAATAGGTTTATATGTTTCTGAAATTTAGCTTCAAATTCTCCTAGAACAAAAAAGAAAAAAAAAACTTATTATGGTTCACTTAAAATGCACAATGGCACATTGCTATCCCATTCTGTATTAGTAAAGTTACATTCTCAATAAATCTCAGCAATTCCTGTATTTGCTTTAAAAAGTTAAACTATGATAACAATTAGTAATTCAATACAAATTAAATTATAAGCTTGAATGAATTCCAAGACTTAGGTAGTAAAATTTTAGAAAGCATAGGAATCAAACTATACAGATATGAGAAACGACAGGATGGTTTAGGAGTTGTCCAGCTCAGCTTTTTAGAAAAGAAAGAAATATGTTTTTCTACTAAATATTTGGTTTGGTTAAACTTTAAGTTCTTACTTGCATGCACACACACACACACACACACGCACACACACACACACACACGCACATACTCTCTCTCTATTTCTCCATGCCCTATACTCTCTCCATTCTCTCTGTTTCTGTCTTTGTCTTTCTCCTCAGTTGAATTGTTTAGAATCCATTAGATGGAGACCATGACTCTACAAATAATTGAAACTTCATAATAGTGAGAAATTAAACAGGTATCATGACCCTCAATATTTATACTTAAATTTTGCCTTATTTAATAAAATGTCATCACAACCATTCCAGACCTTCTATGCTAACTAAACATGATTGGACAAAAATTTATTTTGTTTTAGAAAATTTTTTTCTCCTTTAGCTGAATGTTGAAATTACATATTTATTGATGAATATCATTATTTTAGACAGTTTTTAAAATATATTTTACAGGTTTCTTTAGTGACTAAATTGTAATCGTCTTCTAGTTTAAATGTGTGTGTTTGTGTGTGTTCATTCCTTTGAGCTTAAATTAGTCTCCTTTATTGATGACTTTTACCTTTTCTGAGGATATAGTGAAACATTTTCCTTCAAATTTTAAAGCTAACTTGCTCTAGGTTTTTATCACTTTACCCCCCTTGGCCCTTGGATTTATTTTTGGTTCACTAATATTTTAGACTCCTCAACGTGAGTTTTCTCAGCTAATTAATGTTTATATTACTCAATTAAATGTTGAATTATATTTCTTAACTGCTTAATTATAGGAAAAAAACTTTGGATTTCTAAGGATAGATGAAAATATTATAGAACTATTTAAGTACTGTGATCAGTTCCAATATTTTATAATTTGGGAAATTAACATAAATAATAATTAAATATTTTTTAAAAAGGAAGAGTAAGTGGATATTCCATTTTTTAATAACCTCTTTATTCTAAGACAGGATTACATCTAGGGCACAGACATAGCAGGTATTGATTTATATAACTGAAGAATGGTTGGATGTGCTACAGCTTTTTATTTGCACTCCTATTTGGGTAGGGTGTAATCTGTTGCCCGAGAAAATACATCTCTGTCAGGATCTGAATGTTTTGGGGATTTTGCTTATAACTCTGTAAAAGGCTCATTAGTCACAGGAGAGGAAATGCTACCAAGTGTTTATACCTTTTTGGTGGAACAAATATCATTTTATGACAAACATAAATCTGAATAATTTTTTAAAGCTTGGTCGACAATGAATGATTGTTACTGCTATTCAAAAATATTGTTTGAGCACTTCCTCATCTCCCTTATGTTGCTTTCTGAACTTATAGGAGCAGAAATATATCAGGTTTCTTCTGGGATTTGTGAACCAGTAGCCAATTTTTGTTGTTGTTGTTGTTGTTTTGTTTTGACAAGTAAACCTTGACTACACCCTACATTTGCCCTAGTTCTTGAGTAATCTCAATTAGCGGATCTGTCCTACTCACTGTCTTTGGACATGTATTGTGTATCATTTTGTTAAGCCTTGAAAATAAATGACTGTTTATTACTGCATCATAACCTAGTGTATCCTGACAAAAATAACTTTTTAAAAAAAATTAATCAGAGTTAAATTTTAACAATTCAACAATTGGACCTGTGGACATTCATCACAGAGAATTTAAACTATGTTCACAGAAAAACCTGTACACGAACATTCATAGCAGTTTTCATTGTTATAGCCCAAAACTAAAAATATAGGCGATGTCCTTCAAAAAGTGAATAAACACACGATGGTACATTCATAAAATGGGACACTTAGCAATAAACAGGAACAAAATATTGACACACATACTTATGCTGAATGAATAATATCAGTCCTAGAAGGTTAAATATTATATTATTTCCTATAGCATTCTTGAAATTACAAAATTATAGAAATGGAGAAAAACCAGATTACTGTTTGACATGGTTTAGGACTGGGGTGGGGATGGGGTGGAGTACGATTGCTTCAGTGATGTGGATGTAGTTACAAAAAGACAATAAAAATAATCCTTATACTGATATAGTTATTTAGTATCTTGATCATATTGGTAGATACATGTATCTACATATATGATACAAATGTATAAAACTAAATATACACAAACACAAGCACAAGCACAAATGAGTACAAGTAAAACTGGGGAAATTTAAATAAGACCTATAGATTGTATCAATGTCGATATACTGATACAATATCTTGGATATTGTACTATAATTTTTGCAAGTTTTTACCTTTTGGGGAAATTGAGTAAAGGGTACACAGGATCTTTGTGTATTTTTTTCCTACAACTGCATGTGAATTGTCAGTTGTCTCCATAATAGTGCAATGGAAACAAGTAAGATAATTTCAAACATAGGGAATATAAATACTTCCTACCGAGCATTATTTGTTTGTAATATTGATAATTTAATATTTATGATATGTATAGAAAGCAAAAAGAACATATAGTGGAATAGTACCAATAAGAATTTATTGGCTGGGCATGGTGACTCACACCTGTAATCCCAGCACTTTGGGAGGCTGAGGCGGGTGGATCACGAGGTCAGGAGTTCAAGACCAGCCTGGCCAAGGTGGTGAAACCCCGTCTCTACTAAAAATACAAAAAATAGCTGGGTGTGGTGGCGGGCACCTGTAATCCCAGCTACTCGGGAGGGTGAGGCAGGAGAATTGCTTGAACCCGGGAGGTGAAGGTTGCAGTGAGCCGAGATCACACCACTGCACTCCAGCCTGAGTGACAGAGCGAGACTCCATCTCAAAAAAAAAAAAAAAAAAAAGAATTTATTTAAATTTCTTAGGTCATTTTGGTATTGACTAGTTTTTTTTTTTACAAGGGTCTGACTGATATTTTAAAAATATTATTATGATTGGGTGCAGTGTCTCATACCTGTAATCGTAGCACTTTGGGAGGTTGAGAAGGGAGGATAGCTGTAGCCCAGGAGTTTGGGACCAGCCAGGGCAAAAAAGTGAGACCCTATCTCCACAAAAAATAATAAATAAATTATCCAGTCATAGTAGCATGCTCTTGTAGTCACAGCCACTTGGAAGGCTGATGCGGGAGGATCACTTGGGCCTGGGAGTTTGAGGTTTCAGTGAGCTGTGATTGCACCACTGCACTCCAGCCTGCACTCCAGGCTCCAGAACAGGACTCTGTCTCAATAAATAAATAAATTAAATAAATTAAGTTAAAATACCATTAATTTTGGTCTAAGCAGAATAAGAAAAACAAAATTACTTCTTTAAAATTTACGTTCATTTGTTTTAGACTCTAGAGACTTCATTACAAACTATCTATATATCCATGCACCAGTGGATTACTGGGGTTAATTAATAAAAATGTGATTTTTTTTCTAGAGATCATGACCAAAATATTTTGTTTCAAGATATAATTAAATAGAGATGAAAATATAAACTGAAATTTTCTTTTGTCTAAAATCTGCACTTTCTTTTAAATTATGAATAAACCAGAAAAAACATGACATAATAAAACCATTATTCATATATAATTTCTTAATTACTTGTTCTTTATATATATGATACATATATAATTACATGACAATATTTATTTTATTTTCCCAAGTGTAACATATATTTGTTAACTTTTACATGGAAATATTAGACACATTATTACTACTACATATTAAAGTGTTGCATGTCACACCTTACTAATACAACAATTAGAAGATTGCAATTTATACTAAAATTATTGCTTGTTGGGATATTCAGCAGATTGTGTTTGATAATTACTTTTATTTTCCCTTTTTTACTGGGTCTTTGCTTTTCCTTACCCATCTAAGTTGTACATTAACTCTTGGTTGGCTACATGTATTGTAAATGTCTTCTCCCAATTTGTATTGTCTTTCCCTTTTTAGAGTATTAAATATTGAACAGAAATTGTAATTACATATAGGTAGATGAACAGCATGTTGTCTATAACTAGTGCTTTTACTGTCATATTTTAGTGATACATTCCAACCACTAGGTCAGAATATTAATTTATGTTTTATTCCAAGAATTTAAAATTTGACTTAAATATGTAAGTCCTTTATCTATCTAGAGATGATTGCTATTATGTAAGATGATTATCCATTTTATTTCATTTTTCCCACACTAACAACAAGATCTCTACTGCATTTGCTTTTCCCTCGGATTATACTATGTCGCCTCTATAAAGTTTCATATATACGGAGGTTGGTGTCTCTGTTTGTTGATTTTATCGTTTGTTTATCTATCTACTTCCAAATGAGTCTGTCTTTTTATAGATTTACAACTTTTTTATCACAAGGTATGACATGCCCACATTGTCTTTAAATGTGTCTTTAAATATGACTTGGCTGTACTAGACTCTCCCTCATCCATATAAATCTTAGTATCAATTTGTCAAGTCCTTTAAATCATATCACTGACATTTTGAATGGGGTTGCATTAAATCTATAGATCACTTTGGAAAGAATTGGCTAGGCATGGTGGCTCATGCCTGTAATCCCAGCTCTTTGGGAGGCTGAGGTGGGGGAATCACTTGAGGCCAGGAGTTGGAGACCAGCCTGGGCAACATGGCAAAACCCTGTCTCTACAAAAAATATGAAAATTAACAGGGCATTTTGGCACAGGCCTGTAATCCCAGCTACTTGGGAGGCTGAGTCACAAGAATCACTAGAACTACGTGGAGGTTGCAGGGAGGCCACTGAAATCCAGCATGGGGGACAGAGTAAGACTCTGTCTCAAAAAAAAGGGGACATTTTTACAATACTAAATATTTTTATTCATATCTATTGGATGCTTATCCGCGTATCCATTTATAATTCCATACATCTTGGCCTTTATCTCATAATAGGCCCCAAAATACATTACAGATGAATTGAATAGATAAATGTAAAACAAACATAACAAGAAAACATTAGGAATATGTTTATAATAGTTGAATTAAGGATATATTTCTAAGGCAGATACAAAATGCAAAAACCTGAAAATTTGTCTTTACAACTCTCAAAATGTATTAGCCTCTCTATAAGTTCATGTATAATAAGTGTTTTTTTCAAAATGATATCTAAACATCATAAAATCTGATATATAGTATTATACATGTATACATATTTGTGTGTGTATATATATATGTGTATGTATTTGAGCAGATACAGTACTCTTCTACCTCTATGTAAAAAATGGACAGATTTCACTGAAAAGATTAAGAAAGCCCCAACCTCTGTAATAAGATATATATTCAAATACAAGTGTAAAGGTGAAAGACAATTGTACATATAAATATATGTATATAAAAATAGAAATAAACAAATGAGTTTCTGTAGTGACACTATTTGTAAAAAAAAAAAAAAGCCCAAAATAAGTAATTATAAAAGTATTCCATTTTAATAGGATAAAAATAAAACCTATAAATGTATTTTTCCTTTTTTTTTTTTTTCCAGACAGCGTCTCACTCTGTCACCCAGGCTGGAGTGAACTGCACAATGGGCTCAGTACGATATCCGTGGCTCAAGCAATCCTCCCACCTCAGCCTCTCAAGTAGCTGGGACTACGCCTGGCCAATTTGTATATGTTTTGTAAAGATGAGCTTTTGCCATCTTGCTCAGTTGGTCTCAAACTCCTGAGCTCAAGTGATCACCTGCTTCGGCCTCCCAAAATGCTGGGATTACAGATGAGAGCCACAACACCTAGCCTCTATTTTGTTTAAAAAAAAAAAAGAATTATAATGGTGATAAACATGTAAAAAGTTGCACTGCTTTAACTCAGCTATCAGTTTGACAGAAATGCAAAGTTGCACTGCTTTAACTCAGCTATCAGTTTGACAGAAATGCCACCTCCAGCCCAAAAAATAACATGCTGGATAACTCTCTTAAATGTTCTTTGCAGAGTATAAATGGACAGAGACTTCTGAGATATAAATTTGGCTGTCTTTCAAAATTGGAAATAAACATGGCCTGTTTGACTAGGCCATTTACTTCTGTGAATTTACATTAAATAAATAGTCTTACTTGTACATAAGAATATGTACGTAGGATTTCTACACCAGTTTTATTTTCCCATTATGAAAACTAGAACTACCTATAGGCTGGCCACTATGAGAGAGTTTAAACAAAGTGTTGAAAAATCTAAACTAAAGAATACATTGCAGCAATTTAAAGGAAAAAGATTTTCCTTAACTAACATGAACAAACTCTAAGATACAGTGTCAACTGATGAAACACAGAAGATAAAAATAGTTCAAAAATAGAACTTCATTTGTGTAAAACATAAATATGTGGGGTAGGTATGAATCTATGTTTGCATATTTGTGCTTAAACTTTTACTCATGTATGTTAATCAACATAGAAAAAGAGGATCAGAGACCTACATATCAAGCAAAAATAATAATTTTATATGAGAAGAAAAATAGCACTGAAAGTTTAGACCAAAGGGGATATTTTGCATTTTGTGCTGTTTTCCTCTGCAGTTTAATATATAACAAGGAAAATATAATTTTAGTCTAAAATTGAAACAATGATAACTAAAAAGAAAAGAATGTTAGATCTTCTCTGCATAAACCTACAAATGTCTTAACCTCTCCACTAAGTTCATCTGTAATAAATGATTTTTTGCAAAATGATCTCTAACTTTTATGAATAAGACACCTGATACACATGAGCATAAGTCTGAGTACATACAGTGGCTTGCGTACCTTGTTGCCTTGAAATGCTATTTTCTTTTCTTACATAATACAGTTAGATTAGAAACAAAAGTTTCCTAAATTGGAATTTATTACCCATTAGGTCATAAATCCAATATTTCTACAATTGAGAACTTTTAAATTCCAATTTGAGTGCTTTGTTGTTATATTATTCATTATTCTTTTGCAACTTGAGCCTTTCCACTTAGGCACTGGAAAATTAGCTGAGAAAATGAAAGTAATTCAGACTCCTCCCTCATATACTTTGCCTAATACAGATAACGTGTATTTATTCTCAATATTATCTTTCATTCTCAAAGCAACAATATTCATATATCCATGTATATCTGATTGGATATCATTCAGAGTGCTGTGAAAGCAAGTCTAGAACCTAGATGAGAAAAGAAACTACATGCAAAAAAATCTTCAATTAGCTTGATATTTATTCATAGCCGATTATGGTGAGACTTCTAAAATTTATGCTTGTCCTTACTCTTATCTCTTAATTGAAGAAAGTCACCATGAATAGCTACTGGCTGGAACAGCAAAATAGTGATAAAAGACCTATTTCTGGGCCATTGATGCAAACTTTGGTTTGCTTTATTGATTTTCCAGATGCTGCTCTGTGTAGGATACTGGTATTATCATGGCACCAGGAACTGAGTAATTTAGCCAAGTACTGATTGCCAAGTGCACATCTGCCCTAAGTCAGCCTTTTAGGCATGGCTGCCAGCATAGAACTGTTTGGTTTAGTTTTCTGAGGCTTTGGTATGAATTTGCTGTCTACTCTGATCTAAGGAAAGCATTTTTGAGAAGTGGAAAATAATCTTCACAAATTCGTGTTATGCTATCTATCATAGAGTGCTGGGGAAAATATTACAATGGGGCCAGGCATTAGATCTAATAGGGTTGATCATATTGACTAGAGTGCCATCTCTTCTGATACATATTCTGGGATTTTGGGCAAATTTTTGGACACCACATATATGAAGTAATTACCAGAGTATTCGCCTCTGTTTGAGGGTTCAGAAATACTCCAACATTGAAGGATTTTAAGAACATAATCCATTTTTAATAGAGATACTAGGAATAGCAATTTCTGAATGACCTGGCAGTTTGAATTTTAATCTAGTTGAAGAAGACTGAATTTCCATAGCTTGGGTCAGAATAAAAATATGGAAATAAGCATACAACATTGAAATTTGATTTCAATAGCTCAATGGTAGTTAAGAACACAATAATACAGTAATATAAGATGTTTTGGGGGGGTGTTTTCTGTTTTTTTGAGTTATTTTTAATTACTTTGTTTTGTATTTTCCATCTCTACCACTTTCACATTTACAACGTTTGTTTTCTATTAAATTCTGTTGAGGATCTTGTTTCAAAACATTACAGCAAATGTTTCTAAGTGAAGACAAGTGAAGAGAATTTATCTTTAAACTCATGTTTTATACTTCTAGAAAATAGAACTGAAGCAGTAACTTCTATTTTTATGCTTTACACATCATGATACACTCTAAAAAGTGATTGATTTCTTTGACTACCAGCTTTGTGTTTTAAACTCATGCAAAACCACTTTGATTTTCAACTTTTGCATGAGTAACTTCTCAAAACTGGTGAGATTTCAAAGATAGCAATGGTTCAAAAAAAAGAAGAACCTTCAGAATAGAAGACAGAAAGAATATTTGTATCATTTATTTAAGGGAACAATAATGGTGCAAAAAATAAGGTCATCATTAGGAAGGATGTTAATCTACAGCAAAAATTAGACTTACCATATCTTCGATAAAGTGATTTAACTTTCTTCAGACTTTTTCAATGAAATGGCTGCCTGGATTATATTAACAGCTACATTTCTGCACATACTAGATTCTGGAAATAATTTTCTAATAGAAATTAATGGATTCCTGTATTCTGACATTAATGTATCTCATGTTAGTGAATTCCATTGGGAACTCAAGATTATATTGTAATGCTTTGATATCAGTTGTTCCCAAGAATACCAGGAGGTGAGGAACTAGAAAATTCTGGTGGAGGATGGTGAAATTCAGTGTGTTTGTGTGTGTGTGTGTGTGTGTATAAGTTCAGTTGTTACACACAGAACAACTCAGAAAACTGTGAAGACTGCATATTTTCTTGCCCTTCTTTCAGAGATACGAATTCCATAAATCTCACATGGGGTTTAGGAATTTTCATGTTTGTCCAGTATTTCCTTTAATTTAGAAAAGATATTCTGGGGAACATTGGTTCAAGTAGAGGGGAAACTGTTTTCTTCTATTATTTCTAGAGGTCTATACATGTTAGTATTCTAGCTTATTTTTTTTAACACTAGAGAAGGTGGCAAATATTTCACTCTACTAAAAAAAGTATTAAAGAATGAGCTTAAATAAAAGACAAGCAGAAATGACAAAAATTCCACTGTAGTGCAGTGCAAGACACAGAAAACAATTTGACAAGGAAATGGAAAGTAGAATTTTATTTTCATTTCGAACTATGAGATTGTGCATCACATTCCATTTTGGTCCAGATCAATGTGGTTCAGAAGTCTCTAAAGAGAACTAAAGACAAATTATCAGAATATTCTTATTTTGAAGATGTTTAATTGACATTAATGATTTTTTGAAAGAAAATATTATGATTTTATATAATATATAAAATCCAGACATATATCCAAGACTACAAAGTTTTATAAAGAAACACTTATAACCCGAATTTACATTATTTTACAGAGTCAAATGACAAGCTAAGTGAGAAGTAGCCATTCACATTTAGCATTCAGAGAGACAATAAGATACAGATGATTTCTTCTAAACAAAGGAATAAATTCAGGAAGGTACTTCATGCCCAATGTTCAGTGATTTGAGTCAAAGCTGTTCTGAATTTGGAAATAAAGGAGACACTGAGAGCTCACTTTAGAGAGACTGTTTCTGGGAGCCTTTTAAAGCCAGAATGTTGATTATTATTGTCAGTTAATTATTCATTTTTAACATTTATTTTGTCCTTGCATTGTGCTAGTCACAGAACACAATATGGCTTTAAATGCACTGGTTCCTACTGAGTAGATGTGTAGTTTTCATTTTAGGATAGGGTAAGAACCCACTCCAGGAGAAACATCAATGTGAACCATCCTAGGAAAAGTAAAGAAATTGAACAACAAAACCTCTGTAACAACAGAATGTGGTAGATAACCATTAAATGGAGGTTTTTGGAAAGTCTGGTCTTGTTATTCACATAAATTTTCTTTCTAAGTAGCAAATTGGGACCATTATTTCCCCATGGTATTTTCATCACAATTTACATTCAGTAGAGTCTCCTTTTGCCATTTGCAATTCCCTGTCTGCATTTAATATTTATGCAATATTGAACTAAATAAAAGCCTGCAGTTCTACTCTTGTTCATTTGTTGTGTGTTTGGGGGAAGCTGTGCAGAGTTCAATGGAATATGAAAATGCACTGTATTATGCTCATTATGAGCATAGCTGCTAACTGATAGACTATCCTGGGGAATAAACTTCCTTTTCAGACAAAGTTTCTTTGTTTTCTTTTTGCCTACTCCTAGTTGTTTTATTTCCTATCATAAATGAAAGTTGTTTTGAAAAAAAATCTATAAGCAAAATTTTCTGTAAGGTCTCTATTCCATTTCCTCTAGAAAAAATATCTGTTAAAACTTATTCCAAATGTTCCAAATCATTTTCTCCCAGCAGTCTTCATTATTAATTTTTAACTCCTTCAACCTATTATAAGTTGTGAATTCATCATTACTTAATTACTAACAGTGTGTGCCTTTTTTGTTTGTTTGTTTGTTTTGTTTTGAGACAGAGTTTCGCTCTGTTGCCCAGGCTGGAGTGCAGTGGTGGGATCACGGCTCAACCTCCTGGGCACAGATGATCCGCCCACCTCAACCCCCAGGGTAGCTGGGACTACAGGCATGCATCACAATGCCCAGCTACTTTTTTTTTCTTTTGTATTTTTTGTAGAGACAAGGTTTTGCCACGTTGCCCTAGCTGGTCTTGAACTCCTGGGCTCAAGCGATCTGCCTGTCAGCCTCCTCAAAAGCTGTAATAGGATTATAGACATGAGCCACTGTTCCTGGCCGACAGTTTGTGATTTTATCTTCTCATTTAAATGAAAGGAAAGCAAACACAAAAACTATATATTTACACATTAAATTGATTTTAGAAAAGGCTATTTTCTTATGTAGAAACCAAAACTCTGATTTAACAGATTCAAAGTTCTGTAACTAATATAAATTTACAAGCAAAGCAGTGGCAACTTAGAGTCTCATTAGCTATTTATATCCAATTTAAATAGTACACACAGTATTATAGTTGGGATTGATCCATTCTCAAATATCTTTGCACATACAAGCAGGAAGTGGGCTGCACAGAGAGAAAGATAATCATTTCAAGCTGATATATGCTTGCAGCTACCCATAGGAACTGACACACTGAACTGAAGCAACACCAGTGGTTGGAAACTAAGAAGAAATAACATTCTTTCTAATAGTTGGACTTATTAAAATTTCATATAATCACTCTGCCTCCTCACTAGTCATGTGCACGTGCAGTCTATGTTTTATTATATACTTCCATATATATTATGGATTATCTTGGCTTATCTACAAAAATACTATTATGTGTTCTCAATAAACCAATGAAGAACATAAACCACATAATCTTTATCACTTCACTCTCATGCAGAGACAAACACTGGTAACACGTTTTATGAGTTTTGAATCTATTTGTGATAAGTTCTAACTCAGAAAAGTTTTAGGGTTTCTAATGAATACTATTTTCTTGTTAATGATATACAGAATAGAAATCCAGGTAAAATAAGAATGAAATTGTGCTTTTGATGAAGAAAATGAAGTAGAAGGAGGCAATTATAGAAGGAATAAGATTATGAGAAGGTCCAGAAATTAAACAAAGTGGCTGGGCGTGGTGGCTCATACCTGCAATCCCAGAACTTTGGGAGGCCAAGGCAGGAGGATTGCTTGAGCCCTGGAGTTTGAGACCAGCCTGAGCAACATAGTAACACTCTGTCTCTACAAAAATTAACAAAAAAATTAGCCAGGCACGGTGGTGTACACCTGTGGTCTCAGCTACTCGGGAGACTAAGGTAGGATGATCACTTGAGCCCGGGAGGTTGAGGCTGCAGTGAGCTGCATTTACACCACTGCACTCCAGCATGGGCGACAGAGTGAGAAAGAAAAGAAAGGGCATTTAACAAAGAATAAATAAATTCAAAATGAGAGGGAAATCTACCATGTGGTTCAAAATAACTTAATTTTAATGGTGATAAATGCTCAAATCAGCAACATTTGCAGGTTAATGAGGAAGATAGATAAGCATGCAGTAATAAATGAGAAAATTTTAAACCAGTGATAGTTTTTGCTGAAGAGCCATATTTTAGAAGTTTGTTTGTTTGTTTGTTTTTGACATGGAGTCTTGCTCTGTCGCCCAGGCTGGAGTGCAGTGGCACGATCTCGGCTCACTGCAACCTCCGCCTCCCGGGTGCAAGCGATTCTCCTGTCTCAGCCTCCTGAGTAGCTGGGACTACAGGTGTGTGCCACCACGCCTGGCTAATTTTTTGTATTTTTAATAGAAACAGGGTTTCACTGTGTTAGCCAGGATGGTCTCGATCTCCTGACCTCGTGATCCGCCCGCCTTGGCCTCCCAAAATGCTGGGATTACAGGCCTGAGCCACCGTGCCCGGTCTTAAAACAGTTTTTATAAAAATGAATATTCAATTCTAGATGTGCATTATAACAATCAATTTTTTGGTTTTGAGAGTGCACTATAATTTTGAATGTGTCACTTTTGAAGAATGCTTGGTAATAAGAAACACTAGATTATTTTTGTCAATTTTTGTGAATACATACTTATTTTAAAATAAAAATAAAAGTATAGTAATAAGGCGAATAAGGATACATGTTAAAAATGCAAGAGCTCTGGTGAACTGTCATAAAAACATCAGTAAGAAACAGAGAAACATATTATGAACTGTTTTGCAGAACAGTAAAAGAAATCTGCATGCACTCATACATCTTTCAAAACTATTTATTTTACATCTATTGTATTGATAGGTCTTTAGAAATCATCTAAGCATGGAAGAAGGATTAGTAATACATTATGTGTTTCATTTTTAGGTGTTTCACAATGTCAAGATGTTGCAAGACTAAACACAATTCTGAAAATAATAACAGCAGTTTATATTTTAGCATGCATAATTATTTAATTTGTTGGTTTTTTAAATGGACAATAATTTTGTTGGTTGGGGTAGAGGGCACAATTGTTGAGTAGATAAAAGTAGGGTGATGAAATTCCAAAATTATTTAGAATCAATGATAGAGTATAGACATGTCATACTACTTTGTATATTAAATACAAATTTGTAATATTGACTAAATGAAGAAAGATTCAAGAGGTTCTGATATCTCTATGATGTATCAGTTTCCTTTCTTTTGAATATATATGCAGTAGTAAGATTTCTGGATCATATGGTAGTTCTATTTTTAGTTTTTTGAGGAACCTCCACACTGTTATTCACAGTGGGTATACTAATTTGCATTTCCATCAACAGTGTACAAGGGTTCCGCTTCCTCCACATCCTTCATTGTTGCCTGTTTTTGGATAAAAGCTATTTTTACTAGGGTGAGGTGATGTCTCATTGTAGATTTGATTTGCATTGCTCTGATTAGAATTTTTTTGATATGAATATTTTTTCATATACTTGTCTATATGTATGTTTTCTTTAGAGAAATGTCTATTCAGATATTTTGCCAATTTTATAGTCAGATTATTTTATTTTTTCCTATTAGATAGTTTGAGCTCCTTATATAGTCTGCTTATTAATCTTTTGTTATATGAGTGGTTTGCAAACATTTTCCTTTTCTAAGGCGTTGTCTCCTCACTTTGCTGATTGTTTCCTTTGTTGTGCAAAAGCTTTTAGCTTGATGTGATCCCATTTGTCTGTTTTGGTTTGATTGCCTGTGCTTGTGAGGTATTACTCAAGAAATCTTTGCCCAGAAAAATGTTCTGGAATGTTTTTCCAGTGTTTTTCTAGTTTCATAGTTCAAGGTCTTAGATTTAAGTGTTTAATCAGTTTTGATATGATTTTTGTATATGGCAAGAGGGGTCTAGTTTCACTCTTCTGCATGTGGATATCCAGTTTTGCTAGCACCATTTATTAAAGAGACTATCCTTTGCTCAGTGTAAGTTCTTGGTACCCTTGTCAAAAATGAGATCACTGCTAAATGTGTGGATTTATTTCTGGGTTCTCTATTATGTTGCAAGTGTCTATGTGCCTACTTTTATGCCAGTACCATGTTCATTGCAGCATTATTTACAATAACTAAGATATGAAATCAGTCTATGGGTCCATCAATGGTTGAACAGATAAAGAAAATGTTGTACGTATACATATTGGAATATGATTAATTTATAAAAAATAATGAAATCCTGTCATTTGCAACAACATGGATGGAACTGGTGGACATTATGTTAAGTGAAATAAGCCAAGCACAAGCCGAAAGACAAATTTCACATATTCTTACTCATTTGTGGAAGCTAAAAATAAAAAATGAGAATAAATAAAAATCATGGATATAAAGAGTAAACTGTTGGCTACCAGAGGCTAGGAAGGGTAGTGGGGAGTGGGGAATAAAGTAGAAATGGTTAATAAGTAAAAAATATATAGAATGAATAAAATAGTTAACAATATTCATTGTATATTTTAAAATAACTAAAAGAGTGGAATTGTGCTTACAAAAGTACTTTGTGTTCCTAACACAAAGAAGTGATAAATGCTTGAGGCAATAGATACCCCAGTTACCTTAATTTGGTCATTACACCTTGTACACCTGTATGAAAACATCACATATACTCCATAGATACATACAATGATTATGTACCCATAAAAATTAAAAATATATATAAATTAAGAGAAAAAAGTGATTCAAGAACTTAAAAATAAAATGGAAATAAAAATAAATTATTTTCTGCCCAAAGTAATTTAGAAGTGTCACTTTTGTTTAATAAATGAGACTTTTGTGGTCTTGTTAAAGGCTATCATTGGTTGATTCAAGGTCAATTGTTTCAACATTAAACCATATATTTTATTCAAAAAATTGTTTTATTTTCTTAACTAATTAGCACTTAATTTTCTCAGTATTGGATATGGTCCTTAAGAAAATATGAATGCGGCCGGGCGCGGTGGCTCACGCCTTTAATCCCAGCACTTTGGGAGGCCGAGGTGGGCGGATCACGAGGTCAGGAGATCGAGACCATCCTGGCTAACATGGTGAAACCCCGTCTCTACTAAAAATACAAGAAAATTAGCCGGGCGTGGTAGCGGGTGCCTGTAATCCCAACTACTCGGGAGGCTGAGGCAGGAGAATGGCGTGAACCTGGGAGGCAGAGCTTGCAGTGAGCCGAGATCGCGCCACTGTGCACTCCAGCCTGGGCGACAGAGGGAGACTCCGTCTCAAAAAAAAAAAAAAAAAAAAGAAAATATGAATGCATGAAGTCTTATAGATAAACTAAAGCTTATTTTTAAGTTAAATCTTATTTCAGGTCAAAAATCACGTATATAATTTTTAAGTGTTTATCAGTTTAACACACTGCAGGTTGTGTATTTAAATTCAAATGATAAAAAGACTTGAATTTGTACGGTCTCTTTTGTATTCAAAGTGGTAACTAAAAGCTAAATTTTAGTCATTTTAATTTTCATCAAGAAAAAAGATCATATTTATAATTTAATATTGTACATCCTGAATATTAAAATAGTTTATATAATGTGTTGTTATGTTCCATTTTTTTTTTGAATTCCAATACATTGAAAATATTTCTTAAATATCTACAGAATGCATTCAATCTACCAAGGTTTTCTATTTTTTGGTTTAAAACAAAATAACATTTCAGAGGAAAAAAATAAGGCATAATAAGTATCATCCAATCAGGTTGCCCTTAAAAGTTGTGCAATAATAATAGTTCCTGTTTGATGTTTAGGTAAGTAGCCAAATTTCTGAATATAGAGAATTATACAGCATCAAATTTAGAATGATCTCTTTGCACTAAGAAGGAAATCATTGTAATGAACACAAATAATGATAATCTACTGAAATCTCTCCTACTAACAGTATGAGTGACTGACCAAGTAATTTAAATTCATTAAAACACAGTTTTCACATTTGTAAAATGGAAAGACTGAAAGATACTTCAAATTCTAGAATTTCTTGTATTCTTTATGAGTTAAAGTTAGTTTTAAAGATAATATATGAAATACACATGAAGAGTGAGTAAAAATGGCCAAGAATTCTGAGCTAGAAATACAAATTAGCTCATAACCTGTCTTTAAGTAAAAGAAGGGGCTGTTTTTTCTTCAACACAGAAATCCCAGCGGTCAGAAAACCAAATATATAAAAAGCTCTACCAATATAGTGCATTGTGCAGCCGATTTCATCCCTCAAAGTCTATCTAAAAAATTGTTTACCTGACAAAGTTTTAAACTTTTCTAATGTTAAAAAGAAATGAATTACTGAGAAAATGATTTGTTAGATTCTGCATGTTTGCAAGTAATACATAAATTTATAGTTTTTTAAAATGACATCAAACACTAGCCTGTTTGATATGTTATTAAGCCCAAATTCTTTATAGTACTGTTGCAAAATAAGATCCAGTGATGCGTACACGTGACTTTTGAATAGAAATACTATATTACATTTCTACCAAGCTAATCTATTTCTGCAAATATTTTTAAATTATTACAGCAATCAATTATATTAGTATTTTATTTTATTATTTATCAGAATTATGTGGTGTATTTTAAAACATATAGTAATGCACTATGATTTACCAATTGTATAAATATAATGTTCTTAATGTTGATGTACACTTATAGCTAATATTTTCCATCATATGTATAGTTTTGATTCATATAAAAGCTAGGTACATTTAATAGGAAAACGCCAACTTTTGAATGTTCAGTATTATTTCAAAATACAGAATGAATTTTGCCTTTAAAATGTAGAATTGTAACTTAATTTGTGGAAGAATTTCATTTCTTTTTATGATATTTTATTTGATTAGCAATATGGGCATTTCTATTAATGTTTAATAAGGCACAAATTGCTCAATATTTGAAAATTAGTATATCTCATTAAATGCACACTTCCTGTTGCTCACCTCATTAACTGAGCAATTAAGAATCAAACCACTTGTATTATGATGGTGAAGGGTGTAAGTGTATGTATTTTCAGAAAGGTCTCTTGTTCTACTCAGTTTACCTTCAACCACATCCCAGGGAATATTTCTGTAGACATTATTCTAATGTTCCTTCTAATTTGTCTGAATTGAATAATTTTGAAGAGGCATTTTCCAGTACAATTAGAGCAAGAAGGTGCTTATTTAATTATAATACTCATGGTTACCATTTACTGAGTATCTAATATGCAACAAGACGTCTGCTAGATACTTCATTTAAATCAAGCTATTCAAACTCAACAGAAACACTGCATGTTATTGAATATTATAACTACCTTTCAAATTAAGAAAAAAAACAGCAGGACAGAGAATAAAAGAAAGAGGAGGTAGACTAAGGTGATCCAGACTTCAAATGTCTTTTTTTCTATTATCTTTGTGTTCCAGCAGTTTTACATTAAAGGTAATCTATACTTTAAATTTTAAACTAACATTCCAGTCAGAAAATGGAAGGAGATTCTTTTTTTTTTTTTTTTTTTTTTTTTTGACATGGAGTCTCGCTCTGTCGCCCAGGCTGGAGTGCAGTGGCGCAGTCTCGGCTCACTGCAACCTCCACCTCCCGGGTTCAAGCAATTCTCCTGCCTCAGCCTCCCAAGTAGCTGGGACTACAGGTACATGCCACCGCGCCCGGCTAATTTTTGTAATTGTAGTAGAGACAGGGTTTCACCATATAGGTCAGGCTGGTCTGGAACTTTTGACCTCAGGTGATCCACCCACCTCGGCCTTCCAAAGTGCTGGGATTACAGGCCTGAGCCACCGCTCCTGGCCAGAAGATTCTTATTGTTCCTTATGGTCCCTGGGTGAATGTGAAGTTTGGGCAATGTGAGCATAGACTTGCATTTGCTAGGAAGAATGAGAACTCTTCTCATAGCATAATACGGTATCTTAAATTTAGTTTCTATTGAATGAGAACTTTCTGGGGAAGAATGTATGGACTTTAAGAAAAGTAGACAAATAAAAGATTTTTAAGGTGTAAATCAGTGGTTTATAAAGTACAAAGACAGCTTGGAAGATAATTCCATATTTTTTAGGGTTGACGAATCAAAGGACTAAGTTACGAATGGAAATTTTTACTAGGAGAAAATATGAGGCAAAGAGAAAGAAAAAGGAGGGTCTTGGACTTGACTGAGTCTAACTGGTAACATAAATTTATCCATTTTATAATGACTTTCATGTCCTCGTTTGACTTACCCATGTATAAAATTGTTAAATTCCACTGTGGTTGCTAATTTAAATTATTATAATATGAAAGCAGAAATTGATATATTTTAAAATTTGGTTAAAATGCCAAACTCCTTATTTTTTCACTTCTTTCCGACTTAAAACTGGATTTCGTGACTTTTATATTGAGGTGGTATATCAAACCTAGACTTTGTGGCTGTACATGGCAGGGTTTTCATTATGGATTTTTAACTTATTTTTGTAAATTTTGGAAAAATTATGGAATCTTACTGCATTACCATTTTCCTATATTAGAAAAATAATAATATATACTTTGATCAGCTGTGATAATAAAAATAATATATAAAACTTTTGACATATTTATGAACGATGTACTAATGTTTATTACCACTCTCATTGTAATAATTAGGTAAAATTATGTGGACTTCATGAGTAATAAAAAAGTGTGATTCTATTAGGCAAATATTTTAGAATTTTATTGTCTCAAAATACATGTTTTATCAGAAATCTCAATAGAAATAACAAATCTTGGCTAGGCATGGTGGCTCACATCTGTAATCCTAGCACTTTGGGAGGCCGAGGTAGGTGGATTGCTTGAGGCCAGGAGTTTGAGGATGGCCTCGGCAACATGGTGAGACCCCATTTCTACAAAAAGAAATCCACCCAACCAAAAAAATTAGTTGGGAGGCTGAGGTGGGAGCATCACTTGAGCATGGGAAGTTGAGGCTGCAGTGAGCCATGATTGTGCCACTCACTCCAGCCTGAGTGAGAGTGAGACCCTGTCTCAAAGAAAAAAAAAATGACAAATCTGTACTTATTGGTTCATTAAATTTTTCATATTAACTCATTAAAAATGAATATTTAATTTTTTTTAATTTAAATATGAAGATCTGCTCTTACAAAACATTGTTTTTGAGTATTTGGTAGCAACACCACAATATTTCTGTAACTTTCATGTCAAAGAAAAGTTAGATTTCAACTATTAACAAGTTCTAGATTGTGGAATCCTATTACACTTGGTTGATTTAATATTTGAAACTCAGAGCTCTTTCATTCAGATTTTAATTTGATGTGTGTATATGTGGGTTAATGGGTGTGCGTGTCAAGAGGGGAAGGGTGTATATGTAAAGACTACATCTAAATACTTACTGATGAAGCCATCCTCACCTGCCCACCTCTTCGCAACATAGCTATCAACATAGCCTTCAGGTAATATAAGATGAGTGAGACTGAGCTTTTGTGTTTAGTGAAGTTTTAATATTGGCTTCATCCATACTCGTTCATCTTCTTTATTTTCATTTTGTCACAATCATTTTTGGGGGTGGTCTCATTGTGGATAACAGTATACATTATCTTATTTATTAATGGTTGAGAAACAAAGCACTATAGTATATTGTTTCTCATAAGAAAATAAAGGAAATAATTATGTTGCTTTTATCTTATTCATTCCAATGCTTTACATCTGGTGAATTGCTCATGAAGGCATGAAACCAACATAGTAAGGTGTCAAAACCACACTTTCTCTCTCTTCACTGTGCTTTTATAATTTGCATATCTAGGGAGGAGATTAGAAAAGCACAAATCTGGTAGATTGTTAGGAGAAAAAAATGGTAAAGTTTACTCAAATATTTGAGTAAAAAAATGAATCAGTGCATTTTATGAAGTTGACTTTATTTTTCTTATCCTTATGACACATGTCTATGCAAAAAAGAGATATTGATTATATTATGTCTAAACTCTCATGCATTTACTATAATTTCTTATTCTTCATGTGCTTTATGAATCTAAAAATAGTTTAAGTTTTATCTCTAAAAACTAACCAGTTTAGCAGTAAAGCATCTAATTATTGTGAGGTAGAAATAACTTTGCAGTTAAACATACACCGAAAAGTGTTTTCCACGGTTAAACAAAACTGAAAGTAAAAGCAAAGCTATTGATAAAGCAAAAGCTTTTGTATATAAAGGAGAAACGTGAAAGTTATTGAAAAAGCATGTTTATTTTAATAATCCAAGACTATTTAATTGTATCTCCATCATGTCAAAACAATTTTTAGTTAATATAGAAGTAGTATAGATACCATATTTTTATCTCTATAAATATACAGAAGTATAACATCATTTTAATGTAAAGAAAATTATGAGACAATATTTTCTCCAAATATCTGTGTATTAGTTTCCTATTGCTAAGTAACTAACTGTCCCAAAACATAGTGGTTTAAAGCAATGAACATTTACTATCTCATAGTTTACTTCAGATGCCCAGGCACAGGTTACTGAAGTTTCTCTAGATCAATGCATTCCAAAAGGCCACAATCAAGATCTCAGCTGAGGCTCCTATTTTATCTGAAGGCTTACCTGGGACAGACTAGGCTTTGGAGCTTATGTAACTTGATTGTTGGCAGGATCCGTTTCCTTGAGGATTGTTGGGCAGAGTGGTTCAGTTCCTCTCTTGCTACTAAGTGGAGGCAGTCTTCAGTTCCTTATGTATGGGACTTCCCATTAGACATCTACTGACATGGCAGCTGGCTTTGATCATAGAAGATAAGAGAGTGAAATAAAATGAGCATCCCAATTGGAAGTTACAAACTTTCTGCAACTTAATATTGAAGTAATATCCCATGATTTTTGCTATATTCCATTAGAAGCAAGTTATTGGGTTCAGCCTACACTCAGTAGGAGGAAATGTACAAAGATGTAAGTTCCAGGAAGTGGGGAAATGTTAGGGATCCTCTTAGATTCTGCCTAACACAGATTATTTGTAACTTTTTTTGAAAAACATTATACATTATATTATTCTGTATGCAATATTATAAAATAACTTTCTACAAGAATAAAGCTTTTCCAAAATTATTATTTCATATTTTCTCCCTAACAAATTTTCACTTTTTAAATGTTAATCCACAAAATATTATTCCATGAATGTTAACACTGAATATTATAAAGTTTAAAAAGTATTTACAAATTGAATGATAAAATTACTCCCAATGATATCTAAATATAACATATGAGTCCTTATATTAAAAAAAGTTTAACATCTACCTCATTAAACTTCACATATCTAAAATTCAACAAAACACAGACTATAATTTTGACAGTGTTACAATATGGAATAGGGTCAAATAGACCTTCATCTAAATAAATATAAAGTTGGTTTGGATTATATAATTGTTTCAAATTATATAACTACATTTGTTAAAAATAAAGTTGACAAACTCTTTGTAAACCTGGCACAGCTTTGACAGAATTAAATATATTGTCCAAACAATGGAAATATAATTACCCTTCCTATTATTAATCTTATTATAGAAATTATTTTATTCCTCTACTTGTTCTTTACAGAAAAAAGAAAAAGTAAGCAAATATCGAGAATTTAGTAATAAATTATTTTTGATATGTAATTTAAGATTTATTTATTTCAAAGATGTCACAAGATAGCTGTATCTTTTTCACTGTCTTGGTAAAAATCATCACCTTTTCATTTGACAATTTGAATACCTAGAAATTGTGTACTCTTCCTTTCTATTCTTGATCCATGCAAGACAGCCATCCATCTAAAAACAAATTTGATCATGCCATTTAATTGTTTCAAAGCTTACAATAATTTCCTATCCTTAATGGAAATTTGCTAATTTCTGGAATCAACATTCATTTCTCATTTCATTGGAATAGATTGCCAATTTTGTTTTAGACGATCATCTCCATTTTGTGTAATTTGATGAAATAATAAGCAAGAATGCATTCTCAAAGGATTAGCTTAGTGGCCTTAGCTAGGTAGTTTACTCAAAACAACTCCTGTTACTTTGAATAATGAACTAAATGGAACAATGACTTAAACTTTACATTATTCGGGAGTCAGTATGCAAGACTCTTTGTAAGTACCTGGGACCCACATCCCAAGAATTACATTGGTTTTATTCTCCTTCAACAAAAGTTCTCCAGATTTCTTAGCAATTTTAGGAACTTCTCAATCTCTTTCAACAAGTTTATTTTCTGGATGAATTATCCAGATTCAATTTTTGTTGCTTGCGACCAATAAACCCTATTTAAGATACCATCATTTATGTGCTAAAACACCATATTTCTCAGAGATGCAAAGCTATATTCTGGCTACGTATATTAGTTTATTCTTCACCTCATTGTCTATATATCACAAATATTGAATTATATGTAATTCTTTAAGTAAATTACACTGTTTCTCTGTATCTCTACATATATTTCTTTTGGGGGTCTTGTAAGCCCACCAGTGTTAGGAAAAGGCAATTATCTTTTCCACCTCTAAAATATCTGGTTGGGCATTTAAGGCCTTTCAATGTATGACCATTAACAACCCCTTCAATCTCAGCTTCTGCCACTTTGTAATAATATGTATGCTGAGTTATTCTCCAATTATACTGTTCACTTTTTCTGGTTTCCATAATTTTTCCAATTTTAGTCTCTCTTTCTATTACAGTTACTTCCAGCCACCAACAAATCGAGCATAAAATTTTCTACTTATCTGTAAAGATTTAGCTGAAAACATGACATCACACTGAGACACTTTCCATTCTCCTAGACAGAAGTAACACTGTCCGCTGTCTCTGTAAGTTCCATATACCTCTGCCGATTATTTCTTTCTATAAATCTCCTTTTATACCCTGCTTTCTTTGCAAACTCTGTCTTCATATTTTCCTTATATTCAATGCATGTGTGGCACCCTGTGCATGCACAATAAATGTTAATGTATTAAACACATGAATAAATATGTGATATGAGTCAAAATGTATTGCTTAATCCACTGAGTAAATATTACTTAAATATGCTTAAGTTACTTTATAAATCACTAACAAGCCTCTGAAGAAGAGTATTACACCAGCCTGAGTGCTGAGATTTTGTGTTAATATATGTATGTCACTGTCTGTGTGTATATAGATGCTAAATGTTATTTTGTATAAATTATGCAATAATCAAATAATATTGCAACTCCTAATTGGAAATTTAAAAAAATTAATAACTCTATTCCAAATAAATCAAAATTTTAATCTGTGATCTTTTTGAAGGAGAATGAGCTTAGGACAAATAAAAGGTAATGTTCTCATACACTTTATTTGCATATAGCAATATTGAATACAATTTAGATTACTGACATATACTTAGCTCCACTATGCTATAGGGACAGGCACTAGGTTATAAGTGCTTTTCATAAAATGCTTAATTTGTTACTCCAAACACTATATAAAATAGCCCCATTGCTATTGTTCAGTTGTTCAACAGACACAGCAGAGTTCAGCAGGTTACTATTATTGTCCATATAGTTCAGAATTATAGCACTAGGCCATGAGAAATAAGAGTGGTGAAGTGTGCATGGGTAGAGACTTGTCAAGCTGGAATCCCAAACCAGGTCTGCTCAAACTAGAACCCCCGCTTTTATCAATATTTTATTCTGCTGTCTACTACTCCAAAGGAAATTTCTCATTTACATGAAAGAGTGTTATTTTCTCTTAAGCCTGCAGGATTTATTTTTCATTTACTGGATTGGTCTATACAATGTTTGAAGTAAAACTAAAGCCAAAGAAAATGATATTTGGGCCAGTAGTCTTATTTTTCCATGTTTGACTTATCACTGACATTTTGAATAATGGACATAGTTGTTCATGCTGTTGATAAGAAATTACCATCAATAAAGTCAATACAGTAGGTGGCTTGAGTTAATTTCACATACAGAGTCATAAAAATGTGATATATACATACCGAGAAATTTGCAATTTACATTGTATTTTTTTCTTTTAGTGTATTTACTTTTAAATATATATCCTTCTTCACATATTGAATAGTACACATTTCTTGGTGAAGCCTATTTAAGGCTTTTTATAACAACAGATTATAAACCTCTATTTTATTATAATTTTGGATACCATATTATTTCCTTTTAGGGGATATATATCATTTATGGTAGTCTATTTGAAAAATTTTGTTAGGCACATTTTTTTTCAAATAATACCTTACATTTTATTATCTTTTACTCTCAGAAGAGCCATGTGCTTATCCCATACTATAAAAGTATGTGTTTTTAAATACGTTGGAGAGAATTCTATATTGTGTGAGTTTTATAGAAAAAGGAAACTTCAGAGACTTTTTATTTGTATAGAGTTTACCTCATTATATCAAGTCTAAAGAGAATTAAAGATACTCCTATACTTGAGGAAAAATATGATATTGCTTAATTCCCATTTGGGCCTTTACTTTTGTTGCTGATAATTTTTACCTGCTTTTGGAACCTTGTAATGTAATTTATATTTAATGCTCATGAGCTTAGCTAATCATTAAAACTAACAAGAAATTATTAAGGTATTGTGATGGGAGTAAATGATAAGTACTACTATTTTGTTAAAATTGAAATTGTGTCAGATATAACTGAAATAAGATCACTAGATCAGGAGAGGTTTAAAATGTTGGTAATAAAATTTACTAATAAGATTTTGTTTATCATAATTTAAAAAATAACAGATATAAGAGGTGTTTAGAATATTATGTGATGTGTCAAATGTATATTTGCTAGGGTAATTTACCTTGGCAAGCTCCCTTAGTTTCCCAGTTTGAAAAATATACTGAATTGAAATATGAGATTGAATCAAACATACATGTATTTGATAACTTCTAAGTAGGTGAGCACAAGCATGCTCACATTTAACACTTAATTACAAAATAATTTATATATGGTAAAGAGAAAGGCTTTGGTTTTATTTCGTTTAATTTTTTTCAATGCAATACATGTACATTTTTTTAAAAGTCAAGCAGTCCTTACGAAGCTTATAGTAAAACAGAATATTCATTCCCCATACTACTCCTATACTGGTTCCTAGCTCACACAATTTTTTTTTTGATCTTCCTAGATAACATTTTTATAGAGTTATTTCTCATTTTTTAAAAATAACACTTGACGTATGGACTTTTTGCACAGGATGGCTACAATGGCCTGAAACAGGCAGATATACATAATAAGTGATTTATTGATGTTACCTTACAGTGCATGATGTATGCAACATGATACATGATATGCTTATTATGTTTCACCCACCTCAGCATGGTCAAAGTGCTTGTCCCTCATTAGCAAGCTATATTTCAACAGATTGTGAAAAATTGAAATAAATACAGTGCATGAAGCATTTTCATCAGTCCCTGCATGTGCATCTGTGATGCAATGTCTCAGATGAATTGTGTCTTTGATTGATTTTCACTAAATAAACCTGCACATTTAGCATACCCCAGGACAAACAGTCAAGGGTAGGGGAGTTGGGGATGGGGGGGCTGTCAAATCTGTAAAAAATGTAAAATAAAAATTATGTATGTTTTGTGGTTACTGTATAAGGTGAGGATTGATTTTTTCACTACTCCTTCTCTTCGACAAACATTCATTGCCTTCTCCCGTCCTCTGAATATAATAATACATGTGTCTTGTTAATGATCATTGTTCCCATTATTATAATTCTGTTAATATTGGTGATAGCTGAGCAAAGTACGATTACATTTCTTTTCTTCTCCAGTTCCTTTTATCCTGCCAATACAGGTTACCCACTTTTATACTTTTCTTAGTTCTCAATAGACCTCTTATGACTTAAGCCTTACATTTGTATTAAAACTCTGTAACATTTCTCAAAATGGTAACACATACTAAGAAGTCTTTCTCCTGGCACCTTGCATCCTTCTGCTCTATTACTGCTGACTACCCTCTAAGCCTGCTGCCCAGCAGTTATCCTGGGAATCAATCAATTCTTACCTTAAGATCCTATGTTTCTTTCTTGTGTTGGACTATCTGTTTCCCCATTCCATGTCTTGTTCTTAATTGAGGTATGTTCCTACCTTGGTAGAGTAGATCTTCGAATAGTTTTTGAGAAAGGGTGCATTCACAGTATATGCAAATGATTTTATTCATAGTTTGGTTTTACATGTAAATTTAGTCGTCTGAGAATTTTAAAAACATTTATCGATTTTCTTCTAGTTTTCAGTTTTTTTGTCGAGAAGGCTGACAGCATTGTGATTTCTGACCTCTTTCATCTCTCTGGAATTTTTAATGTCTGCTCTATGATGTTTTGAAATTTCATAATTAGATTTTTGGTTTTGTTTATATATACATATATCTTATTTTTTCATGTTCAACATTATGGTTGAAATGTATATACATTGTGGAATGACTAATGAAGCTAATTATTCTTAAAGCTGAAAACTCATGTCTTGTGATACTAAAAATTTTTCTAATTTTTTTGTTAATCTCTTGTCCATCATTTCCACTTTCCATTTTCTATGTATTTACTTATGTTAGCTGGATAGTGAATCTCTTGATCTAATCCTCCAGTAACTTATATTTCTGTTTTATTGACTTATATCTATCTTTTTGTTCTCCTTTTGGGGAAATTTCCCCAACTGAATTGTCTGAATTTCAATGGATTTTTAAATATTTTCTGTTTTAAATTATTATTGTAGTTATTTTGTACTATCTTATTACTAAAAGGTCTTTCTTATTTTCTACAAGTAACCTTTTTCTTTAACTATTCTTGGCCGGGCGCAGTGGCTCACGCCTGTAATCTCAGCACTTTGGGAGGCCGAGGCGGGCGGATCACCTGAGGTCAGGAGTTCGAGACCAGCCTGGCCAACATGATGAAACCCCGTGTCTACTAAAAATCTAAAAATTAGCCGACTGTGGTGGTGGGTGCCTGTAATCCCAGCTACTCAGGAGGCTGAGGCAGGAGAATTGCTTGAACCCAGGAGACAGAGGTTGCAGGGTTGCAGGGTTGCAGGGTTGCAGTGAGCCGACATGATGCCACTGCACTCCAGGGTGAGGCTCGGTCTCAAAAACAAAAACAAAAACAAAAACAAAACAAAACAAAAAAACTATTCTGTTTTGTTAGTATTCATCTGAAGAAATTAATTACTATAGAATTAAATAATATTTTGTGTTCTCTCCCTCATCAATCTCTTCTCCTCTGAGACTATTCTTGGTTATTTGATCTGTCTCATATGCTAGAAGTTTTGGTCAAATGTCAACTATTTATTGGCTGCCAGTTCATATTTTAGCGTGTGATAATAAAAAGCTGATTAGAAACTGTTTGTTCAAGCCTTATTAACTGATGTGTTTAAGCATAGTTTGATTTGATAAGAGTAGTTATTTTCTCTTGGGCTGCTGAAATTCTCCCAAAAGAGCTCCTCCAACCCTTAATCTTAGAGACAGAACTCTAACTCAGCATTCTGAAAGCCAACAAGGAAGGGGACTTGTTTCTTACCATTATGGATGTGCTTTCAATCAATAAATAGAGTATCTCACTCTTACTCTTTGCTGTACCCACGGTCCCCAAATTTAGAGAATCTTAGCTTCAACATTGCAAAGGAGTAAATTTTCTCTCTTTACTTAAACAGTAAACGTGTACAGGGGAAGGCTTGTTGGAGTGGGAGACGTTCACTAGGTGGGAAATTAGAGAGAAAATTTGGGGATCTAACTACTTCTTATACTTCACACTCATAGTTAATTAATCCTCCTGCTTTTATACCTCTTTCCTTCTCTCTCCGTTTCTCTCTCTCTCTCTCTCTCTCACACACACACACACAAACACACACACACATACACACACACACATCCCACAATCGTTTAAAGGCATCTGGAACCTCTAGTTATGAAGCTTTTAATAGATCCTGCTGCATAAATTGGTTTTCTCTTTTCTATCTTCCGACAAGACAGCAAAATGTCATGGTTTTTGTTTTGCTAAGCTGTTGCCACTTGGCTATCCTCTTCTAATCATACAAAATTAAGTTGACAACTCTTATCTGCTCTAGTCTATCTTGCTCTAAAGGGGTTTTTTCTTTTAATTTATTTGATGCAATGATAATAGAGGGTTGGGAGCATGTAACTTAAAAGCTTAGGTTACAGAAACAATCTCTGATGTTAGAGGTTATAGCAATAATTAATCCAGAAAATACTTAATTAAGGATATTGGGTTTTTGTTCATCTATCAGTTGGGGAAATTAGATGTTGCTTGTTCATTTATTTGTTACGTACTTTTGTTACTAAGTGTTATTTCCTGGTCTAAGTGCTAAAGTGCAGTTTATGAAATAGTGAAGATAACCAAAAAAAAAAAGTTTCTTCTCATGAGCTTACACTCTAATAGAAGATACAAATACTAAAACAATAAGACAAGAAACAAGATTGTTTTAATAAGGATAAGTGTTAAGAAGATGTCTAAAGAAGAAAAGAAAATAACATGATATTGACCAAGGAGTGGCTTTGCTGTACTGAGCTTATCACTGGGAATGACTTTCTGCTTTTCAAGATGAGAATAGGGTCATGATGTGGTTCCAACTACACAAACAGGCAGGGTAAACAACAAAAAGCTTCAGAAGTGAGAATGGAAAGGTAAAGAAGTATGTGGCTGAAAGGAGTGTGAGATGAGTTGTAAGTTGGAGGACAGGAGTTATATCACGCAAGCCCTGTAGGCCATGGTATGGGTTTGGGTTTTATTCTATGTGCAAGTGGAAGATTAAGCAAAAGAACAACACTTATTCATTCAGTGAGTATTTATTGAGCCCCTACTTCATGGAAGGTGGTGTGCTATGTACTAGTCAAAGAGCCTTATACTCAGGGCCTTGCACGCTTCTGTGCTACTTACCATCTATCTGCTGTTGGATCAGCTAAGGTTAGTTGGTCTAGAGCGACCTCAGCTTTGAAATGACTGATCTCTGCTTCATGTAAGGAGCAGGGTCGCCTGGATTTCTTCACATTGTGGCTGAGCAGAATTCTAAGAAGTCAAGCAAAAGCACACAAGGACCCTTAAAGCACAGACTCAGAACTAGCTCACTTCCTGTCTGCCTCTACCACCTAGTCAAAGACAGCCCTTATGCAAGGAGAGAAGAAAACAGATGTCACCTTTTGAGGGAACATTTGTGAAGTCACATTGCAAAGGATATAGATACAGGAAGTAAAAAATAGATTCTGACCATATTCATTTACCTGTACTTTTTGTTTTTTTGTTTTGTTTTTGTTTCTGTTTGAGACAAGCTCTCACTCTGTTGCTCAGGCTGGAGTGCAGTGGTGCAATCTGGCTCACTGCAAGCTCCACAACCTGGGCTCAAATGATCTCCTTGCCTCAGCCTCCCAAGGGGCTGAAATAGGGCTTCGCCATGTTGTCCAGGCTGGTCTCAAACTCCTGAACTCAAGTGATTCACCTGCCTTAGCCTCCCAAAGTGCTGCGATTACAGGCGTGAGCCACCACTTCCAGCTGTATTTGTTTATTTATGGATTTTGTTTTGCTTGCTTATATTATTATAGAGGGTATGTGCTTCAGTACTATGTGCGGTAAACTGAAAGGTAAAATTTTCAATTATAGGGGAAACTTTATCAAGGATTAATAATTTACAATTGTTAGAAATCAGCCCATCTATATTTGGCAAAATCTTCCTTTATTTTAAAGACCAGAGTTTAGCAGATTACTGCTTACTTATTTTTACAATAAATCGTATACTCACATTTATGGCTTCATAGTGATCTTTCATTGACAAGGCCTGGTTGTTGATAACTTGCTTGTGTAAATTTAATGAGGGGGCAGAGTTTTGATTGTGCTATTATGAAGATGTTTCCAAATCTGTAGTCATAAAAGGAAAAAGAGGACCTCCTATATATCAAGTTGCCAAATGAGTTGATGTCAGCATTTTAGCCCAGTTTCCAGGAGGCAGGAAAAGAGACTACGTTTCTTACAACTCTTTCAATATAGTCATAGGCATTGGGAATTCTGAATAAAATAGATATTAGAATGTTTACAGTGTTATCAAGGAGTACAAAACAAACCAAAATAATTACCAAAGAAAAATCTTGACTGTATCCTTGAAAAAGGTGCATGTAAAAGCTGCAGTGAGAAAGATAAAGCTGAGGTTATTGTAGTTAAAGTTGTAGATTTACTATGGAGGCTCTATGACCAAGGGGCTTTTAACTTATTGGCAATAGCCTCTTGGCACATACAAGTGTTTAAATCTTCATTATCTAATGTAGTAGCTATTAGCCAGTTGTGGCTATTTAAACAAATTAAATGAAAATAAATAAAATTATGCTCAATATTAATACCTCGGTCACATAAGCAACATTTACTTTGTGCACAAGCCTGATGGGGCCATTGAATAACCTAATGGACTGCACAGGTATAAAACCTTCCCATCATTGCAGAAAGCACTGTGGGGACTATGCTGGTTTAAACTGAGATTCAGTCTGTTAAGAAAGATTTAAAGAATGTGTAAAGAAATGTAATCAAAAAAATTGTTATCAATAACTATGGACAAAGATAAAAGATTTCACTATAATTTGTGCTTCATCCAGGATTAACTCATGCTTTGGTCTCAATTCAAGATGCCCAAATTTTAGAATGACATTTCTCACTTAAATCACCATGGGAAAACAATATCCCAAAACAAATAAAAGAGAGAGGAACTACATATATATATATATATATATATATATATATATATATATGTGTGTGTGTGTGTGTGTGTATAAAGATATAAAATTATCATTACTTGTAGATGACAATCAACCTGGCAGATAAGAGAATCAAGGAATCAACCAAGGAGTCTTAAAATTATAAAGAAAACTCAGTAGGATAAAAAGATAATTATACATTAGTAGTTCTCCAGCTGGCACGTTAAGAAAAAGAAAATAAACAATGAACAAAGAAAAATACCATTTTACAACGTTAATAAAAATAAAAAGACAGACATATCATAATCCTGGATGAAAAGAATCAATATTTTAAAGATGTTGTTTCTCCTCTCACCTTTCCAAAAGATATATATTAAATGCAAGTCTAACACAAAGTTTGACATGTATTTTTGTGTCTGTTAAACTGAATACATTTTGATAATGGAATACACCCATATAACTACTATTCAAAACAAGTTACAGAATATGACTATCACTGCAGAGAGGTTGACATTAGCTAGTACTAGCTTATCAGGAACAATTGTTAATATTTGAGGCATTTCACAAGCATGTTGTTAAACAGGGAAATAATTAAAAATTAAATTATATAGGCTGGGCGCGGTGGCTCACACCTGTAATCCCAGCACTTTGGGAGGCCGAGGCAGGTGGATCACAAGGTCAGGAGCTCGAGACCATCCTGGCTAACACGGTGAAACCCCGTCTCTACTAAAAATACAAAAAAAAAAAAAAATTAGCCGGGTGTGGTGGCGGGTGCCTGTAGTCCCAGCTACTCGAGAGGCTGAGGCAGGAGAATGGCGTGAACCCAGGAGGCGGAGGTTGCAGTGAGCTGAGATCAAGCCACTGCACTCCAGCCTGGGCGACAGAGTGAGACTCCATTTCAAAAAAAAAAAATAATGATAAAAATAAATAAATTATAGAAACAATATTAAATAAACATTTTAAAAAGGAAATAGTCTAGATTTCTTGATTTCTAATTGTTTTTCTACATTTTACCATATCTATGGTGTGAAGGTTATTGACATATACTACACTTCTATGGAGGACGTGCATACATGTGTCACTGTGTATCTTGTCTTAACTCCACCTTCAGTTAAACATCACACTGGTAACTTGAAATTAATTCTGGAGCTGAATGAGATTTCAGCTTAATGAATGTATCTTATGAGAGAGTGTGGTAATTTACAGTAGGTCAAATACCAGATTTAATGACAATAAATTTACTGGGACAAACATGAACAGGTAGCGACACGATTCTATTTGTCTAGCCATGGTTGAATTGCAATAATATCAACAGATACCAGAGAACAGTAAACATCAGCAAAAACAGTTTACAGGCTGTATGAAATTTACAAAGAAGAGCACTGTATATTTTATTATGTGTAAATATTGCTACATATTTTTATATCAGTAAAATTTTTAATAAACATTTATATACACATATCCATATTTTAAAGCCTAGACATTCAACAGCACATCACTGCTCATGTCTCTGTTCTGTAACCCTACCTCCACTCCAGAGACAACCACATTCTGAATTCTGTCACCATAGACTAATTTTGCCTGTTCTTGGACACACACTATGTATTGTGCAATGTATGTGTGAGTGTGTGTGTGTGCTATCTGTTTCTGCTTTCTTTCACTCCACATTTTTAAGATCCATTCATGTTGTCATGAGTATTAGGGACTTGATTCTTTTCATTGCTGAAAAGCATCACATTATATGAATGTATATCCTGATGATGAGCCTTTGGGTGGTTTCCAGGTTTTAACTATTATGAATGAGGCCATTGCTACAAACATCTTGAACGTACCAGATGGAATTTATTTTATAATTTACAAGCTAATTATAAATTTTACCTAGAAAAATAAAGCCCAGTGAGGAATCTGTAGAAAACAAAAAACAAAAAAACACTGAATGGAAAATGTGTACCTAATTACCTAACTTAACAACAACAAAGTGTCAAATATATATGATTTTTATATCCATAGGAAAAAATATCCATTTATGTGCCACATAATGATGTTTCTGTCAACAACAGATTGTGTATATGATCATGCCCCCAGAGAATCATGATATCATATTTTTCACTGTATCTTTTCTAAGTTTAGATACGTACGTACTTACCATTGTGTTGTAATTGCTTACAACATTTAGTATAGTAACATGCTGTACAGATTTTTAGCTTAGGAGAAATATAGTCTTTACCACATAGCCTAAGTATATAGTAGGCTATACCACCTGGGCTTGTGTAAGTATACTCTATAATGTTCGTACAACAAGGAAATTGCCTAAAAATGCATTTCTCAGAATGCATCCTTTTTATTAACTGACACATGACTGTATATCTTTCTGTGGATGATTCTAGGGCAATTAGCTATTTTTTAAATGACAAGTTAGATTCCTGTATCGTGCCATAAAATTAAATTCTATAAGTCAAAAATGTGTTTTAAAAAAAGAGCGAGACTTACACTTTGAAAATAAGAAGAAAATATGGAAACATCAGGTTATCTCGTTTGGTTCAGATCAGGGAGAGTTTGCTGGTACAACTCCTTGATGTACTACACTGCAATGTTTGGTACCATTATGATAAGTCACCAATAGGGTGATCAATATACTTAGGACTGAGAGGATTTATAAGACATAGGGCCTTAAGTATAAAAACTAGGAATGTTTTAGGGTAATTAGCCAAGAAAATAGAGAAATAAAATAATAACTTGTGGCTTTATTTCTGATATCTCATGTGATACAGGAGGTATCCATGTGGTCTACCATAGCATGTGGTCCCTTAAAGATATTGGAGAGTTTATAAATAGAACATTTATTGATGACCTAACATGTTAGGAAATTCACTGTGTGTGTGTGTGTGTGTGTGTGTGTGTGTGACTGATATCAGGATCGCTAGGCCTAACATTCTGTGAAACACCTCCAATATTGTTTTGAAAAACAATTAGTTCTTCAGCTCCTTATTTTTCCTTGCTATGTACTCATTAAACAATTACATTATGTTAGCTGGAAACGGAGGCATCTAACAATGAATGTTAGTCTTTAAAAAAAACTAAATGTTATCTTCTCAAATTATTGCTATAAATTTTCCTTAAAACTTTTGTGACACTGCCATTTACTTTATCATATTTGAATATTAAAAGGCATTTGATTCAAAATTAAATATATAAGAAAATTTATATTATTATATATGTTTCTGATATTCTGAAACAGTATATTAATTAAAAGTTTTGCCACAGGAAAAAAAAGTGAGAGTACCAATATACGATGTATGCAAGAAAAAAGCAATAATAAAGTATCATGAACTTTAGGTACATATATCTGACCATAAATAAAAATATAGCCATCCTTAATGTTGTAATGATTCAGTGCTGCATCGGGACTGTTAGCAATAATATAAGTATAGAATTTATCTTGCAACCGGGAACCATTTTGAGATGAAAGAAGGCACAATCAGTAATTATACTAGAAAAATAGGCATACATAGTGATCATGACCCTAAGCACAACAGGATGTATAGCCACGTTAGAAATAGAGAAGACCCTACTTATTTATGGTCTACTGATCATGAGGAAGCTTTATCTGGGATATATCTGACAGGGTGAAACATACTGAGATTAGTGAAAATTTCCTCCTAAAGAATTTTGATCTAAGGCCCCTCACATCAATATTTCTACCAGAAGGAGCAGTAAGCATAGAGATTATTAAAACAAAGTCACTTGATAATTATGAGAGAATGTTGCTTCCCAGAGACTCATTTTCCTGTGAATGATATTCATTTTATTATATAAACCCAGCTATAAATGGAGAAATCAACAAAATATAGATGTTGGCTGTCATTTACATATGAAAAATACAAAATGATTTACACAAAAAGTGGAAGAATTCTTATAATTGAAGAACCGGAGTGTAGATGAGGATTTAGATGCAGGCAGAAATGAGGTCAAATGGGGTCACAGAGCTTTATCTCTTAGCTCCCCCTCATTTGAGATAGCTCCATTTTCAGAGAGGCTCAGCAAAGTGCCCAAAGTTTTCCACACCTTACAGTCCAAATCCATCAGGAAAAGCAAATATTGATCTCAACAAACACATGATTTTCCCAGATTGATTTTAACTTGCTTTGATGGCTTACCTATCAACGAAGGATGACTGAATGAAGTATGTGATTGACATAACTGTAGATCAAGTGCTCCACATGTATTGCTTGCACTTTAATCAGCTTACCCAAAGCTACTAGGCTGAGTCAGGGAAGGATGTTCTCCAGACCAAAGGCAAGAGCTGTTTCCAGAAAAAGAGTCAATGGCAAAAAATAATAATGTGAACCACTAGCTTCTCTCCTCTCCTCTTTCCATTGCTTTTCCTCATTCATATCACCATTTTTTCTATTCTATATTATTTTCATCTGCTTCCTATTATTTCGTTAACTCGTGGCTACTGTATTTAATATACAATGTACTCCATAGATTTCACTAGAGAGGAAATGTGGTGTGGAGGAAAGAAGTGGCCTTTGGAGTTTGTTAAGATTGTACTGGAAACACAAATCCTCTTGCTATCCATGTGATTGGGAACAATAAATTTCATTGCTCTGAGCTTTCACTTTCTCATGTGCAAAATAGAAACACACATGCCTATTTTAAAAGGTTATTGTGAGGACTAGAAATACTGAATACAAGGAAAGGATAGTTGGTGTTCTAAATAACCCAATGGCTAAGAAAGTGTCAGGAGAACTCTTCCTAAAAAGAGAGGAATGCTCCTACTGACAGGATTTTAAGGCACTGCATACTGATCATGACAGAAAGCATTTTTTAAAATCTGTACATTTTGTGCTTCATAGTAAGATTCTTATGTTTACAAAAAAGCTGTTAGACTAACAAGTAAAAAGAATCCCTTCCACAAACATGAAATTTCTTTTCTTTTTTTCCAGCAGTTCACCCCTTGATTAAGACATAAAATACCATTTGATTAGCTAAGTATTTATGTACAAAAAGAAAAATAGCAGTGTTTTATGTGATGGCTAGCAGTTTTTTTTTCTTTTGTGTCATTTAACAGAAGTATCTTGTAATCATCTTTAGCAAGTGTTCATTAATTTCTGTTGTATATTAGCTAGTAATGCTTTATAAAGCTGTTCTATTATGATTCAGCATTATGAATATAATGTCCCTTGATCAATAATAGCTTTGTGGAAATTTATTTTTAAAGCACATGAATTGTGAGCATGTCAGATCCTTGAGCTCTATTTCATGTGTATCATTTGCGAAAGAATAATAGAATCTTTCATTTTTAAAACGTTTAACAGTGAACATAAAAAATAGAAAATATAAACATAAAAATACGAAGGTTTTTAAAGCATTTGTGAATTGATATGACCAAGCAACGTACACTCAGCAACAGAAAATATTTTGAGAGTTTTATTATGGCAAAAACCAATTTGTTTCTACCATTTTTATTTAAAATTGAAAAGCATTTTATGAAAATATTTTCCCTATCTATTGATATGTTTTCGGTGAGTAAGAGATAAAAGTAACCATTAGAAAACTGTCTCACAAATTTCTTTCGAGTTGACCAAAAACATTGCTTTAACAGCAATTTACAGTGTCATATATATCACAGGGGTTTATTTCTCAGTTACCAATGTTCATTCAGCTGAATCTTTGTGTTCTGTGTTCAGGAACCCACCCCCTACCATTCTTCTGTGAAGAACTTTTATATGTTGCATGTATGTTCCAATCATATTATAAGTCATATGCCAAAATACCAAACTGTATGCAAACATGAGACCCTCAGTTTAGCATCTCTGTGTTTTGTAGAATTCACAGAAAGAGTTTGTTTTAGCAGGATAAATTTAGCAAATAAACCAAGCTTTACTTACATGGAGAAAAAAACAAATGTCTATTAGGTATCAAGGCTCTGAGGATATGTGACAACCTGACGGAAAACAGCCTAACAGACTTCTATATTTCTCAAACATTGCTTTGTCTTAGTCACATAGGAAAAACAACAGGCTTAGGTAAAATTTTTTGAGTGCAAGATTGACACATAATAATTGTACAGATTTATGGAGTACAACATGTTTTAATACATATATAAATTTTATAATTATTAAATCAAGGTAATTAGCATATCCATCACCTTAAACATTTATCATTTTTTTTGTGATGAGAACATTAAAAACCTGTCTTCTAGCTATTTTGTAATAAAAGATATATTGTTAACCCTAGCCATCATACTATGCTATGGAACACCAGAACTTATTTCTACTATGTAACTGTAACTTTGTACTCCTTGACAAGTCTCTTTCCATTCCTCCACTTCTTTTTGGCACTTTACCAAAGCTATAAATTGGTGTATACCGTATTTGTAAATTTTTATTTAAAAATTGACTTCTAACAAAGAGATACAATTAAAGTTATTAATTCTGTAACATATTTAATAATTGAAATTGAAAATATCAGTAGAACAGAAAAACTAGGAAACTTTTCCTAAGTAACCACCACACATTTAGTTATTTCAGACCCAAATATGACTTTCAACATATATCAGAAGATTTATATAAGGACAAAATTAAACTAGATGTGCAATATAAACTAACATTTGTTGAGCACCTATTCTATGCCAAGGACTTTTATATGTGCTTCCTCATTTTTTTTTCTAGGTGGTGAGCATTAATATATTTTACATGTAAGGAAAAATTGGCACAGATAAATTCATTAATTTGCCCTAGATAATACATGTAAGTAACAGACCTGCAAATGGAATCAAAGCTACCAAATGCCAGAGTCTGTGCTCTTAATATCTCTTCTTAATGCTTTCTCTACTCCCATACAACTGTCAAGCACTGCATTATACTGCTTCGTGTTGTGTCATAACACATCAAGATTGTAACTTCAGAAATCCTGGATGTCTCTGAGACACAGAAAAACAGCTGTGACTATAACATATGAGGAACTACTGCTAGAATCACAGACAACTGAAGGTAATTTTGGAAGAACATGAAAACAGATGCTCACACATTACATGATGTTCATAAAATTGCTCACTGCATTGGGTACTAATGAAAATTATCCTGCCATGGAAGCCCTAGCTAAGAATTTATTAGTATCCATTGAGTAGTATACATACAACACTTATCAATTTACATTGATAAGGCAAAAAAGTGATGCAATATTTCATTTTCCCCTCTACCTAATACAGTCTTAAATTTTGCACATGTGACCTGTGTTGTTTTCATTACATACAAGTTGCTTAGTACTAAATTAACAAGGAGGGAAGTAAAGAATGTAATCACAATAAGGGATTGTAAAATAATTTATGTAGAATTGTGAAAGATAATGATAAGGTAACTGGATTCATGTATGTGCTCACATGCAGAATACTGCCCACTGTACAAATGCATAACTACTTGCCAATGCTAACTACATCAGGCCTAAGTACACACTGAATTATCACTTGAATTCAAATATGAAGGATAAATAATTCAGTACTAAAAAGAAAGTTGCATCTCTGCCTTTCTTCAATTTTCAAAGTCAACAAGTTAAAGTTTTAAAATATTTAATGTTGTTTTCTTGCTGTATAATGGATTCATTGTTGTATTTGTCTTACTTAGATGCTCAGAGCTAATGAGTCTAAGATCATGGATTTGAGCCCTTTGGGGGCCAATTAGCTTTAATATATTTTTCAACTTCAAACTCTACTTAAATCCTACATAAGAATTCACAATGTATGTTTTACTTACTCAGATGAACAAGAAATAAAGAGTGCATTAAAGTGAATAAATATGTAATACCTCGTAGAAGAGTTCTCTCTCAAATTCAAGCTTACCTGAGCATAGCCAGAAGCACTACCATTACACTGTAAAACAGATTATAGAATTTAGGAGTGAGAAGGCCAGAGAGTCTTTATTACAGTGGTTTGCTATTGAAATGTGCAAACAATATGATATATGAGTCAGTACTACAGACTGGTTAAACAGGGTACAACATCTAAAGCCAAGCATAGTGGTATGTACCTTTGGTCCCAGCTACTCTGGAGACTGAGTTGGGAGGATCTCTTGAGCCCAGGAGTTCCAGAGCAGCCTGAGCAATGTAGCAAGAACCCATCTCTTAAAAAACAAATAAAAACAGTCCATGAAACATAAAGTTTGAAATAAAGATTAAAAGATATATGCCAGGAAAATGTAACCCTTTCCCATCCCACAAAAAAAAAAGAATAAATACCAGATAACAAGGAATTTAAGACAAAAAAATTTGGATATAAAATGGTCATGTATTATGATAAAAGTTCTAATTCCACCAGGACAAAAAAAAATTTAAACTTGTGCGTGTCTAAATACATAATTTTCCATATACATAAAGAAAAAACAATGTAACTGCAGAGAGAAATAAATAAATATATCATGATTGTAGAAACTTTGTCATACCTCTCTCAGTAGTTAGTCTATGAAAATAATAATAAAAAAATGATAAGGCTATATAAAATTTGGACTTAAGATAATTTAAAAGCTTTAACTATTCAATGTATATTAATTGGTGCATTTAACAACTGGAAAACACACCTTTGCTTTCCAAGTACTGTTTTATAAAAGTTGATGACATATAAAGTGATAAAACCAGTTCTAACATATTTTTAAAAACAAGTACCATAGAGAATATGTTCTTTGAACACAATGCACTTAAGCTAGAAATCAATAACAAGATAACATAAAATATCATATATTTAGGAATAAACTTCTAAATAATTTTGAGTTGAAGAAGAGCTTCTAATGGAAACTAGGTAATGCTTAGAATTGAAATAATAACATCACATATCAAAATGCATGCAATATAGCTAAAGTCAGTTTGATTTTTAATGTTTATACTGGAAGCAAAAATGCTGAAAATTAAGAATTAAATAGAAAGCTAATCAAATTATAAAGGAAAAACAAAATAAGCTGGAAGAAATAAGAAAGAAGAAAGTGATAGTTATGATAGAAGATAATAAAATAACAAATGCAATAAAGAAGTTCAATAAACTAAAAGTTTTTGTATTGTAAACATTAAGAAGAATGAGAAAGTTTTTGTGAAATTGACCATGGGGCGAAAACAAGAAAACATAAATAAACAATACTAGAAAGGGAAGAGGACTTAATATAAATATAACATATATTTAAGATTTTTAAAAGATTAAAAATATAAGATACATTTATGCCAAAAAATGTAAACACTAAAAAACACAAATGTAAAAAATTTAACTTATAAAAATGAACTCAAAGTTAACATAGAAAATCTGAAAGGTATTATAAACATTAACAAAATTGAATTGGTGACTTGAAATGTTTAGATGAAAGTACACCCCTGGTAACTGTTTTAATCGAATGTTCTACCAAACACTCAAGGAAATAATACTTATCTGATCAAGGAAAAGCTTCTTCCATAAACTGCAAGGGGAGAACTTCCCAAGTAGCTCTATGAAGTTATTCATTTAGGTAGTGTAAATGAAGATTCGTGAAACTAATAGATGATAATGATTTATCCATCCATCCTCATGCCTATGTATGCACATATTTTAATCCAACCATCTATTTTCATTGTCTAAATATCTGCTATGATCCCAAAACCATGCCAGATGATACAATGAAAAGATGAGTCAAACACTTAATTTCTACGCCAGAAATTGCGACTCACAGTTCAGTAAAAGAACCATTATGCTATTTTAATCATGTCTTTATATGCCTATGTGTTTGAACAGAAGGAATTAGGAAGAATAAGAAAGTTTCTAGCTTGGACACTTTGGTGAGGTAATGTTGAGCTCTGCTGTTCTACCTTATAATAAGAATACATGCTGTAATTTACTAAAAACTATTCCCTGAATAATATAACCTTTAAGGTGGAAAGTAAAAAAATTTATTTTAGGAAAAAAATTATTTGATAGATTTTGAATAGAAAGTAGGACTATAGCCAATGCTGACATTCAGATGGTACATTGTGGTAGAGACCCGCCTATGATTAAAGAACTGCAGTATTTCTTAACCTGTTGTTGAAGAACTTCAGGCTTATGCTACTCTGCTGACTTTTATGGACCCCTACTCACATGACCCAGAGCTTCCCGGAATCTAGCATCAAATTTAATCTTTCACAGAGCAGGAACATCCCTGACTGTCATTCCCACTCAGTTCATGCGCTCTGTTTAGTAAGTTACTGATGTTAAGTTCCCCTTGTTAACTATTTAAATTATCATTCCTGATTATAGGGATCTCTTTCTGAAACAGTTTCATTGTCTGGAGTATCACCCAAGGTTCGTTGTCCCACAGCCACAGTCAAGGAGAACAAGGACACAGACACACAAAGAGGGAGGTTAAGAGTGGAAGTTTAATAGGCAAAAGAAAGAGAATTGCTCTCTGATGCTGCAGAGAGGGGTCCTGGAGAAATGGGTTACTGGATCTGCAGTAAAATGAAGCAGCTTTTATAGATGAGCTGGTGAAGAGGTGATGTCTCATCTACACAGGGTAGGAAAGACTGGTTGGACTAGGTGTGTCATTTGCATAGGCTGTGAAAAACTGGTTAGGACTAGATGTGCCACCTGCATAGGGTGCAAATTTCTGGCCTCCCTCAACCTAATCTTTTATTATGCAGTTCTGCCTGAGCTGCACCATGTTGCCCATTTCTTTACTGTGCATGTGGTAACAACAAAAAAGAAGATGGAGCCTCCATGTTGGATATGCCTGGCCCACAGGTAGCTGTTTTCTATTGGCACAGCTGCCGGCATTCCACCGTGCAAGCTTCCAACTTGCTTGTCTAGGTTTGCAGCTCAAATTTTTCAGGCTGCTCTTTGTTAGAAAAGAATTTATTTGGGGGGCTGCTTTTTGTTAAAAGGGAAGCTGCCAAGGACTCTTTTACCTTCAATATCTGCATAAATGATTTCTTTCTACCTTCTGTATCATTTCTATAAATAACTTAAGTCCGAATTTCTAGGTTTTACATATACGTAGGTTTTCCTTATGGGTTAACTCATTATAGTAACTTTCTTTGTTCACTTTAAGTCAATTTGTCTATATATATTTAGTGTCTGCCCGCTTTATTGGCTTCTTGGTTTATAATTTTAATCTGAAAATGTTAATATTTGGTCTTTGAGTGGAAAATAACTTCACTTAATGCTATTTAGAAATATCAATCATCCTTTGCAAATATATTCAAGGTCATATATTCAGAAGCAATATTTGGGTAGAGAGAGAGGAAAAGTAATCAGTATTGAACTGTTAGCCAAGCACTTAACACTAGTTTGATAGCTCTATGTGAATTTCTTTTTCCCTAAATGTTTATATTTTCCAAATGAATTGTTTACTAGCTTTCCTTGTGTGTTTTATCATTGGAAATGCAAATGATTACATTTCAACAGAATTTAAGCTCTTATTAGAAAAAGCATTATGTTTTAACACTCAGTTGCTAATCAATTATACATTGGCTATTTACTGGCTTTTTTCTAAATTCCATTTCTGTATTGGTGGGGCATTCTATTCACTTGAAATATGGCATCCTTTATAATATTAACCTATCATCCATGTTATCCAGTTATTTACAGAGGACTTCCATTTTCTCCTTCAAGCTGTCTCCCACTTTCCCCTTTGGTCTCATTCTTGTTACCACTGCCTTCATCACATCTTCATTACCTTGACCCTGCCATTTCTAAGGCTAGCTGGGCTGATGCTAGTCTCTGTTCCCTCCATTCAAGCTGCCCTGAGGAATCTTCTTAAAAACATCAATATGTTCTGATTAGTTATCTGCTGATAAATCAAAAACGTTTCAAGGGGGTTACAGGGAGAGGGACTCTATATTTACAGTCAGTTATTAAAAGAATCATCAGACCGGACACGGTGGTTCACGCCTGTAATCCCAGCATTTTGGGAGGCCGAGGCGGGCGTATCACGAGGTAAAGAGATCAAGACCATCCGGCCAACATGGTGAAATCCCATCTCTATTAAAAATACAAAAATTAGCTGGGCGTGGTGGTGCGCGGCTGTAGTCCCAGCTACTAGGGAATCTGAGGCAGGAGAATCACTTGAACACGGGAGGCAGAGATTGCAGTGAGCCGAGATCGCGCCACTACACTCCAGCCTGGCGACAGAGCGAGATTCCGTCAAAAAAAAAAAAAAAAAAAAAAAAAAAAAAAGAAAAGAAAAAAGAAAAAAAAATCGTGAGAGCCAAATTCAATTAGCTTTTTTTTCCCCCCGCAAAATTCCTCCATGCTTCAACTACACCATTTCCCCATTAGTTCTGATATCATGTGTTGGTCGTTTCTACCAGATGTCTATGCTTCCTTTGCTATTGTCTATGTTCTTCAAATTATGTTTTAAATGTTGTGGTCTCTTATACTTTCCTCAAATACTTCAGTGATCTTTTCTTCAAAAAAATTAACATATGTATTCATTTTACTTTTATTTATCTACTATTTTCTGGGGTTAAAAACTTCATAAGTGACTTAACTTCTAGATTATAAGATTGTTTTTGCTGTTAGGTTTAATTTTCTGTTATTCGTGGCCCCATGACTCTGTCCTCTATAGTATAATGTGGCATCATCTGCTGTAACACTATAAATTTTAATTGGATTAGTAATTACATTCATTTATCTCAATTGATTTTTTTTCTGGATCTCATTTTCCTTGTGTTTTTTTCTTCATTTTTAAGCTTTTGAAATTTATGCCTCTTCCCAAAACCCCTCTTTTTTGGCTTCTATGATAGCTTTCCTGGTTCTTCTCATAGTTCTTAGGCTGTTCTTTCTTAATTTCTTGCACACTCATTCTTCTATCATATTAAACTTGAATTTCTTCAAGGCTTAGTTCTAGAATCTTTTCACTTGTTCCTCCTCTGTCTCCTTATTTTCTAGGATATCTGATCCATGATTTTACTACCAACAACATATGCATGAATCACACATACAAATCTTTAGCATGGATCGCTTTTTTGAGCATAGTGCTTATATCCAGATACTAAATTGGTATTTTCACTAATTAATCTCAAACACTAAAACTCATGTTATTTAAAAAACATAATTTATAATCTCTCCCATGCCCCTTCTCAACTCTCAATTCTATTAGTCTAGTTCTTTTCCACCATTATGTATATCAATGAATAGAATCATTTATTCATCCACTGCACAAACAAAATACCCAGGAGTGGTCCTGGATTATTTCCTCCCTCATTTTCATATGTCCAAACCAATACTAAGTTATGACAGTTTTTATCCCACCCCTCCATTATCTTTAATTTGTCCACTTTTCCTCACGTCCTCATCCATCACCTTCACTTGTGCTCACATCGTCCTTTACCATAGACCAGTACAATAGCCTCCTTACTTGTCTCCTTGTATCTGTCCTTGAGTCCTACTCTCCATTGTTCACAAATATGTTAGAGTGATGGATTTAAAGTACATATTTTCAAGTCATCTCTCTCTTCAGAATCATCTGATGTCTTTTCATTGCTCTTAGAATAAAAGACAGTTTTTAAGGTTCTGCATCATCTCAGTTCAAGCCACTTCTACAGAAGCCACAATCCTGTCTCCATCTCCTTTACACATTCCACCAGCCTCCACTCTGTTGTTTCAGTGCCTTGAATGTATCATGTTACAAGGTCTTTCTTTGCCTGTGTAAATTCATCATCATTTAACAGTCTTCTCACTTGACGCTTTTCTTTTTTATCCTGTTTATATGATTTGTTTCTATCTCAGTTCAAATGTCACTTCCTTAAGAAAACCTTCAGTCCCCCAGAATATAACAGATATTTGTGTTATAAATGGACCCATGTTACTATTTCCCATCTCCATAGTGCTTATTACAGTTGTAATTTTAATTTAGTTCATTATTTCCTTTTACTTGCCCAAGTATACTGTATCTCCTTGATATAAGGGAGCATGTATGTTGTTTCCTTCATAGTACCTAAAATAGTGCATGGTATATAGTAACTTGTCAACAATATTGTTAAATAACTAAATAATAGGTTTTAAACAATTCATTTTGTCAAGCTTCCTTAAGCACCTACTTCATAATCATGGAAGGCATCCCAGGGGTATGTAGGAAAGGAAATTTGAATAGGAGCAAATATGTGAAAAGCCGGCAGACAAAAAAAGTGTATGATTTGATAAAGGAGTAGCAGTATTCCTGGCTAAGGAGTCCTACATCTATATAAGTGAGAAGGGAATTTTAGAATATCTTTTCCCTCTTTTTCCCAATATTGGGAAAAGATATTCTAAAATTGAGAATTACCTGGAAAATGTTGGAGAAATATGAGCAAGTTGAAAGCAAAGACATAGAAGGTTATTGAAATTACTAAGTTTAGAGTATGTGGGGGGAGGTGAATGTGAGAGGTGGGAAGCAGGTTGTGGTATGAGAAGAATGAGAGTTGAGTGGAAAAAGTTTGAATCCAGAGATGACTCTTTACAAGATCATACTTGTGGAGATAACACAGTGGCAGCTAAAGGGCAACAAAGGATGGAACAAGCGTTTTGATTTTGTTTTCTTTTGATAAGCAGAACACTTGTATGGAAATATCTCCAATATTTATTTATTTAGTGGGCAACAAATGTTCTTCCATTTATATTGATAAATACATCTGCAAAGATTTCTCCATACACTTTTATTTCTACAAAATAAGTATCTACTCTATATAATCAATATGTTTTTACATCTCTGCCAAGAAAGTAAGCAAAAGAATACTGTGAAATTATAGAATATTCAAGCATCTTTTATTCATTCATTACAATAAATCCCATGAGTTAAAAATATATATCTGTATCTATTAATTTTTTGTTTGTTTGTTTGTTTTTTGAGATAGACTGTCACTCTGTCACCTAGGCTGGAGTACAGTGGTGCAGCCTCGCCTCACTGCAACCTCTGCCTTCCAGGTTCAAGTGATTCTCCTGACTCAGCCTCACAAGTAGCTAGAATTACAGGTGTGTGCCACCACGCCCAGCTAATTTTTTTGTATTTTTAATAAAGACGGGTTTCACCATGTTGTCCAGGCTGGTCTTGAACTCCTGACCTCAGGTGATATGCCCGCCTCAGCCTCCCAAGTGCTGGGACTACAGGCGTAAGCCATGGCATCCAGCCTGTATGTATTAATTTGAACCTATTTTATTTTCAAAAAAAACAAGAAAAAATATCTTCCCACTGATTATAACTATCTGAGTAGAAAAATGCTTAGCTATGTTTTAATTTGGTGCCCTTAATGACTTTAGTAATTTGAAAGAGAACTTGGTAGTCAATCAATCAGTCTATCAGAAATTCGGCATTAAGACTACTTGGGCCACAACAAATTCAGAGTTTCTAGGCTTGACTGGCTAAATAACGGAGCCATTCTTAGCAATGTGAAATGCATAGTGGTTACTCGGGCCTGACAACTACTAATTTAGGCAAATACGCTTCAGTCTTCTGAGGTTTAGGGAATACTCTTGAGGTTTAGGGCAGACTGAGATTTAGGGGAGAGTGTAATGTAAAACCATACTACTAAATTGTATGTGTCTCAACATATGGCATACAAGTTCCATATTGATATGGAATATATATGTCTTATTCCTGCTATATCAAAAAATGATTAAGCAAATTCATCATGTTGTAAGTGCTAAATTACTATTTAATAAATAACAAAGTTTTTCAGAGAAGTAATTACTCCCGACTTCTGATGGCAAAGAGTCTCTGAGGTGCTTAATTTGATGATTATTACTTGATTCTTGGGTTAGAAGGGTGTGAGAGAAAATATTATGCGTATTCTGATATATATAGAGAGAAACAAAGAGAAAGAGAAAGAGAGATCAATATAGAGAGATCTGAACCCGACTAACTCTATCAAAAAAGTCCACAAATTAGTATAAAAATTCACATTTATGAGATTTATTTAAGAGGTCAAAAATCATTCATCATATCTATCTACTTTTAGCTTAATTTCCTATTTTCCAAAATTTCAAAATTATTTATTCAGGCAATAACTTTGATTCCATATTTAAGTACTCAGATATTTAAAGACCTCTGATTTTCAAACAACATCAGAATGATATTTCATTATTTAATATGTGATATAAGTATTTAAATGTAGATATTACCAACTTGAATAGGAAAACAGACTGCTCCAAAATGTGTCTAAAGTTGTAGTCTAAGTTTTAAATGCACTTATATTAATTATAGCATTATGTGATGTTAATTGTGAAGAGAAAGAATCAATAGTTCACATAGTCTGACCTCAAACCCACAAAATTCTTTTTACTTTAGTCCCAAGCCTGCACTGAAACTCAAGTTAAGTAACTAACTAAAGACAAGCTGAGAGAAAACTACTAACCCAGACTTTTCTGGTTAAAATTAGCCTTCCAGATGATGGCATTTGCCATCAGTGTCTGTGGAGTGCACCATACCTGACTTATGGGAAAGAGACTTGGAAAAGTAGTGATCTTTTATCACTCCATCCAAGCAAAAGCTAGATCACAACTTGACATTTAAATTAAATACATACATTTTTAAGTTTTCCAGATTTGGAGTGCTGAAATCTGAAAAACAAACAAAAACTGCCAAGCAATTTGCAATATCAGTATTTCCTTTTGATCTGTTTTGTTTCTGTTTTTCATCATAAGCCTTCCTACAAGTTTTAGGAGGGTTGTATAATGTGTCATCTCAAAATTACGAAGGTGATATGGTTTGGCCCTGTGTCCCCACCCAAATCGCATATTGTAGCTCCCATACTTCCCACGTGTTGTGGGAAGGAACCAGTGGGAGATCATTGAATCTTGGGGGTGGGTCTTTCTCATGCTGTTCTCGTGATAGTGAATGGATCTCACCAGATCTGATAGTTTTAAGAACAGGGGTCTCTGCATAAGCTCTCTCTTTGCCTGCTGCCATCAACGTAAGATATGACTTGCTCCTCCTTGCCTTCTGCGATGACTGTGAGGCCTCCCCAGCCATGTGGAACCGTAAGTTCAATAAACCTCTTTCTTTTGTAAATTGCCCAGTCCCAGTTATATCTTTATCAGCAGCGTGAAAACGGCTAATACGGAAGGTAAAAACACCAAAATACATGCAATATGCTTTCTTATGTGTGTGTGTTGAGGGTGGGGGTGGTAAGCAATTAAACAGGAAGGAAAGAATCCTGTATCTTATCAGTAATATTACGAATCTTGACAAATTTTGAAAGCAATAATATACCTAATGTCCTCAAAAATATGTTTAAAATTTTGCTTGTTTCTTGCATTCATTATTGGATTATATAAAAATTGTAGTGTATCAAATATTTCAACAGACTATTAACTAATATTATATTTGAAAATATATGTAAGTATATATGAACACACACATATATATATTAGATCTCCTATTAGATTCTCAGTAAAAATACATAATTATATGTCCTACATATGTTGCTATCATTGTTATTACTGAGTCCAGATTCTTGTAGAAATCTGTTTTCCAGGAATAAGTAGACCGATTTCCAGAGGGATGCCTTATAATTGCTTTAATTGAGAATTCTAAATACTTTAGGTTTATATTATCATAGATATCTGTAATAATTTATTAAATAAGCTTTGCAAAATAATATTTCATACTGAGTTAATTGGAATTTATTGTAACTTACGTAAGTGGTTTATTTTAATATTTCTTTTATTTTTATCACTTCTCTATCATACTAATTCTTGAAACTATACTTCTTATAATTGCATATAAATAGTTGGCTTGCTTGGAAGTAAGATCTGAGGATATCTGAGGAGCCTGTTTATTCAACCAACTTCCAGAGAACAAACAAATATTTACAAAACAGAAAAAAGCCAAATTTGTGTAGAAAAATCTGTTGGCATTATAATTCTAAAAATTATTTAATAGATTTAATCCAAGCATTGTTATTTGAAAAAATAATATAACTGTGTGGGTCTCAGATAGTTTTAAATTTGAGTTTTCTTAGTATGTAAAATGTGGATATAATAGTACTCACCACGTAGAACTGTTGTAAAAAATTAAACATGATTCATACTTAGAATGATAGCTATGACAGTCTGAGTCCTTGATAAAGATTTTTTATTTTCATACTATTAAAAGATACCAGTGACTGTTTGCAGTGTATGTTGGAGTCCACAAAAGTTGTGCATTCCTGACTCAATTTTCTCTCTGAAGTTAAGATCTCTCCAGCCTTTGCAAATTTAGATTTTCTGGAGCCATTTAACTGGGTCTTATAGACCTTTAGCAGATCATGCTCCTTGGTAATATTTGATCAATAAGATTTTATATGGACAAGGTATAGTAGCCTTTTCTAAGGATAATTGAAATGAAGATATTAGCACTGCATTTATAAATGGTAATGGCATAAGCACTTCCAAACTACCAATAACTATGCTGAGATTCAAGGAAGAGTTTTATATTTAATGTATTGCATTATATGTATATATACACGTACATATGTATATATATACATGTGTGTATATGTAAACAAATGTGTATATTTGTATATGTATATATGTGTATATATACATAAAATTCAATACATTAAACACTTCCTTCAATATATTAAATATTTAAAAGTCTTCCTTGAATATATTAAATATTTAAAACCCTTGAGTATATTAAATATGTAAAATAAATATATTAGTATAAAATCCTTTAAATATATTAAATATTTAAATTACACATTTAATATATTACATTATAAAATATAAGTATATGATATATAATAAATGCACTATATATAATGTTTATAAATTAATTTTTTAAATAAAAATAGAGACAGGATCTCACTATGTTGCACAGGCTGATCTCAAACTCCTGGACTCATGCAATCCACCTGCCTCAGCCTCCCAAATTGCTGGGATTACAGGCATGCACCACCAAGCCCAGCTGAAATGTATTGCATTTTAACCACCAAATCTCTTAGAATCACAGTAAATAACACAGCACTTTAGAAAGGAGAAATTTGGGGTAGAAACAGGTGGCCATAATTGAGTAGAACACTTTTTAAAAATTTGGTACAATAGAGGTAGAAATCATCTTTATCCCAGGCTATGCTCTCCAGTGGATATTAGGAATCTTTCCAAAGTTTTGGAAATGTCCAATCTACTTAGTCTTCTTGGGAAAATATTTATCTCTATTTAATGAGAAAGATATTTAAAGGATTACTACTAGCCAACTACCATGGCCCCTCTCTGACCCACAGTTGTTTATACCAGAGGATTATTCTGAGATGACAGAAAAGTCTAGTGATTTCTGAGCAAGGAAGCCTTCCTTTTTTAACATTCCCCACTGCTGTTCCTAATGTCGGCTTCTGATGACTCACATCTCACCACAGGCAAGTCAAATATCGTATTTTCTGTTTCATTTCCTTTATCTTTAAAAATATGGGTAATAATAGGACTCTCCACGTAGCATTATTGTGAGGATTAAATATATATGTAAGATATGAGAGATTAATACACTTCTGAGATATCAGAACTCATAATATTGTTATAATAATAGTAATAATAATAATAATCCAGAAATCAGCTACTATCCTTAAGGCTGAGAAAACAAATGGAAGTTGTAGAATTTATGGAATTAGAAGTGTAAAAGAGAAGCCCTACAGAGCTGACACTCATCCCTTTGAAAAAGGACACTGTTTGATATTTCTCAGAACCAAGAAGAGTCCAGGAGGAGCTAGAGTCCAAGCCTTTCAGGAGGGCACTAGGGCATGCTGGCGCTGGTATCTCAGAGGGGCATGATAAGACTGATTTTTATCTGTAAAACTCTTAATGAGATTGAATTGATGGTATTGTAAGGAACTAGAAGCATTGTTAAGTATGTGTTTTCACACTGCTATAAAATACCCAAGACTGGATGATTTATGAAGGAAAGAGATTTAATTGACTCACAGTTCCAGATGGCCTGGGAGGCCTTAGGAAACTCACACAATTATGGTGGAAGTGGAAGAGAAAGCAAGCACCTTCTTCACAGCAGGCAGGAGAGAGAATAGCGAAGCAGGAACTTCCAAACACTTATAAAACCATCAGATCTTGTGAGAACTCACTATCATGTAAACGGCATGGGGGAAACCCATGATTTCTTCATATCCCACTAGGTCCCTCCCTTGACACGGGGGGATTACTATTCAAGATAAAGTTTGGGTGGGGACACAGAGCCAAACCACATCAAGTAGAGTGACATGGACAAGAAATGAACGCAAACAAGGAGAGTGTCCATTTGTCTCTTTCAAACTTGCCTTCTCCCCCTACCTCCTTTCTTCAATAGGTGGAGGCAATTAATGAATAGAAATGTGGTTTGCAGTGTTCCGCTCCAGCATCACAGAGAAATGTATAAACAGTGTGTTTGAAGCAGAAAGGCACATACCTTGTAACTGGAGCACTATATTATCTTTAGGCCTATAATGGGAAGTAGTATTCATCTTTGCACAACACATGGTTTAAAATTAGCTATATCTGCCATGGGTGATGGAAGGGAGAAAAGCATGTCTTTTATTTGCTGTCTCTACCCTAGCAGCTACAAATCCTGGCAAAAGTATTTCCCCGTGGCTGCTTTTTGACTCGCCATCTTGGAGGTCATTTATACTGGCTCTGCGTAGATGAAGTTTCCAATAACACTACAGAAGCCACAGCAGCCCCTGGTAATCATGGCTTTCAGAAGCTCCATACATTGGTAGCTTTCATCCGTTCAAAATTTTTCTATCTTTAATTCAGCAAATGGCTTAATACTAGTCTCTCAGCATTATCTTTAGAGAATAATTCACTTCAGATGGTTGGTTAAAATCTCTAGTGACAGCTGTGATACCATAAACACTTTCAAGGAAATTACTACAAGCAGTTTATCCCAGAATTTTCTAAACCTAGGGGGAAAAAATGAAAAACTTTAAATTCTTTGAAAGTGCAGCACAGAAAAACTGGCCTTTTATTATGCAAAATTTTAAAAAAGCACATTGTAAAGTAGACAAACAAACCTATTTATTAAAGGTATTATTTCATTTAAAAAAGAAAAAGCAGTATTCCACCAAAAAAGCTTAGAAGTCATAATCTGAGAAGGAAAGGGAGCTCTTCCAAGTGAATGCATTTGACTTTGTGAATAACTCATCTGATAATCTATTTTCCCACGTTTTCACGTATCAGTGGAATGTCATCAATGAACATCAATAGTATGTGGACCAGCAGTAGACAACCACTACATCAGAGCAAAAGTCCTTGATATCTTTCTGCCAAAGCATCCACAACAATTTCAGTCTTTCATAGGTGTTCCTGGAAGACCTTAAATTCTACATTCTCATCCAGTGTACAAGTCATTAGGGGAAGAAGTAAATGACAATAATGATGCAATTGACATAATTTAAGGTGCTTATATAATAAATCATTAGCAATATTTTCTCCTACATTTTGGGTTTTTTCCCCCCTCAATTGCAAGTAACAGAAACACAACTTAAACTAGTATGCATAACTGAAACAGGAGTAAGGCTGGTTCTTGCATGGCTTGAATTAATGATTCAGATCATCTTATTATGTGATTTATTCATCTTCAGGCTCTGCGTGACCCCAGTGACTTCATTTTTAGGGAGTATGGAGGTCTTCTTTACCTTGTGTGACAAAAGTAGCTTCTGATATTTCCAGCCTTATATTCTATCAGTGTAGCTGCTTAGCAGAAAGAGTAATAATTTCCTGAAATCTTTCGTTTTCTAAGGAACTCATTGTTTGGCCTCAGGTTATGTGTTGTTGCTCAACCAGTCACTATACTAAGGATACGAAATGAAGTATATCATACCTAGGTCATTAATCAATCTCTAGACCTCTGTATTAGTCTGTTTTCATGTTGCTATAAGGAATTACTTGAGAGTGGGTGATTTATGAAGAAAAGAGGTTTAATTGTCTCACAGTTTCACTGGCTTTACAGGAAGCATGGCAGGGAGGCTTCAGGAAACTTATAATCATGGCAGAAGGGGAAGGGGAAGCCCACATACCTTAACATGGTGAGGCAGGAGAGAGAGTGAAGTGGAGAGCACTACACACTTTCAAACAACCAAATCTCATGAGAACTCACTCTCATCAGAACAGCAAGGAGGAAATCTGCCCCCATAATCCAGTCAACTCCCACCAGGTCTTTCCTTCAACGCTAGAAATTTCAATTCAACATGAGATTTGGGTGGGGAAATAGAGTCAAACCATATCATTCTGTTCCTGGCCCCTCCCAAAGCTCATGTCTTTCTTACATTTCAAAACACATTCATGCCTTCCCAAAAGTCCCCCAGAGTCTTAACTCGTTCCAGGATTAACTCAAAAGTCCAAGTCCAAAGTCTCATCTGAGACAAGGCAATTCCCTTCCACCTATGAGCCTGTAAAATAAAACACAAGTTCAAATTACTTACTTCCATGATACAATGAGGCTACAGGCATTGGGTAAATGATTCCATTCCAGACAGGAGAAATTGGCCCAAATAAAGAGGCTACAGGCCCCTTGCAAGTCCAAAACACAGCAGGGCAGTCACTAAATTGTAAAGCTCCAAAATAATCTCATTTGACTTCATGTCTTACATCTAGGCCACACTGATGCAAAGGACGGGCCCCCAAGGCCTTGGACAGCTCCTTCCATGTTGCTTTGCAGGGTACATTCCCCATGAATGTTTTCATGAGCTAGTGTTGAGTGCCTGTGTCTTTTCAAAGTGTACAGTGCAAGCTGGCAGTGGATCTACCATTCTGAGTCTAGAGGATGGTAGCCCTCTTCTTACAGGTCCACAAGCCAGTTCCCCAGTGGGGACAATGTGTAGAGACACGAACCCCACATTCCCCTCCACACTGCTCTAGTAGAGGTTCTCCATGAAGGCTCCACCCCTGCAATGGACTTCTGCCTGAACATCGAGGCATTTCCATACATCCTCTGAAATCTAGGTGGAGGCTACCAAACCTTAATTCTTGCTTTCTGTGCACCCGAAGGCCCAACACCATGTGGAAGCCACTAAGGCTTAGGGCTTGCACCCCCTGGTGCAATGGCCTGAGCTGTACCTTGGGACCTTTCAGCCACGGCTGGAGCTAGAGCAGCTGGGATGCAGGGTGCTATGTCCTGAGGCTGCAAAGAGCAGCAAGTCCCTGGGCCTGGACCATGAAACCATTTTCTCTCCTAGGTCCCCAGGTCTGTGATGGGAGGGGCTGCCACAAAGGTCCCTGAAATGCCCTGGAGGCATTTTCCCCATTGTCTTGGCTATTTATATTCTGCTCTTCTTTACTTATATAAATTTCTGCAGTGGGCTTGAATTTCTCCCCAGAAATTTTTTTTTTCTTCCACGTGGTCAGGCTGCAAATTTTCCAAACTTTTATGATCTCATTCCCTTTTAAATATAAGTTGTTTTTACTTATTTAAATGAGCATTGGCTTTTATAAGCAACCAGGCCACATATTGAATGCCTTGCTGCTTAGAAATTTCTTCTGCCAGATACCCTAAATCATCTCTCTTAAGTTCAAAGTTCTGCAGATCTCTAGATCAGGGGCACAATGCCACCAATCTCTTTGCTAAAGCATAGCAAGAGTGATCTTTGCTCCGTTTCCCAATAACTTTTTCATCTCCATCTGAGACCACCTTAGCCTGGACTTTATTGTCCATATCACTATCAGCATTTTGTTCATAACCATTCAACAAGTCTTTAGGAAGTTCCAAACTTTCTCTCATTTCCCTGTCTTCTTCTGAGCCCCCCAGCTATGCCAACCTCTGCCCATTACACAGTTCCAAAAGTTGCTTCCACCTTTTCAGGCATCTTTATAGCAATGCCCCACTCCTAGTACCAATTTTCTGTGATCATTCCCACACTGCTATAAATAACTACCTGAGATTGGGTAATTTATGAAGAAAAGAGGTTTAATTGATTCACAGTTCTGCAGGCTGTACAGGAAGCGTGGCTGGGAAGTCTCAGGAAACTTAGTCATGGCGAAGGCAAAGGGGAAGCAAGCACAACTTACAATGACAGAGCAGGAGAGAGGGAGAGCAAAGGGGGAAGCACTACACAGTACTTTTTAACAAGCAGCTTTTGGCTGGGTGTGGTGGCTCACGCCTGTAATCCCAGTACTTTGGGATGCCGAGGCGGGCAGATGCGGAGGTCAGGAGATCGAGACCACGGTGAAACCCCATCTCTACTAAAAATACAAAAAAAAAAAAAATTAGCTGGGCGTGGTGGCGGGTGCCTTGTAGTCCCAGCTATTCGGGAGGCTGAGGCAGGGGAATGGCGTGAACCCAGGAGGCGGAGCTTGCAGTGAGCTGTTATCGCGCCACTGCTCTCCAGCTTGGGCGACAGGGCGAGACTCCGTCTCAAAAAATAATAAAATAAATAAATAACTTATTTTTTAAAAGCAGCTTTTAAACACCAGATCTCATGAGCACTTTTAAAACAGCACTTTTAAAGCAACCAGATTTCATAAGAATTCATTTACTGTCACAAGAACAGCAAGGGGGAAGTCCGCCCCCTGAATTCAGTCACCACCTATCAGGCCACTCCTCCAATACGTGGGGATTAAAATTCAACATGAAATTTGGGTAGAGACACAGAGCCAAACCATATCAAGCTGCAACGTAAATTCTACTCAGTAGAACTACTTAAACTGAGAGTGAATAATAGTGGTTTATTGAAGAGCAACTGCAAAAAATTATCAGCTACCTTAACAGTGAAGAAGAACATATTACTTGCAAGACACTTCATAACCAACCATGATTTGCAGATCGTTGTTTGGTCCATTGATTTCTTACCATTCACTATCTATCTATATCTATCCATCCTTTTTCTACCTCCTGAGGCAGAACACAGAACCACAGATTTCCCTTTTATGTAGATGTCTGAATATTCAGCACATTATATTCAGCCTTAACAAAATAACTTCACTAATATTGATTTGTTATCTTTAAATGTATCTTAATCTTTATATCCATCCATTTTAAAGAATTATGAAACATTGATATATAAGTATGGTATCTTATCAATGGGTACATTCAAATAAATATTAGATGCATAATGGGAATGTATTATAACTTCTAGCTCACTGTAATACCACTTAAAAGCAAAATATATCATTTCAAGAAGATAATGTACTTACCAGGAATAAACACTTGCTATTTAGGCCCTGAACCAGGAGGATGTGTAGAAGTGGATGATAAAAAATATTTGTTATTTCCACCTGCTTCTATTATGTAGCCACTAACACTGGATGAATGACTTTTTATGAACATTTTGTTTGGTGACCCAGAATCAAAAAATTATTGTGTTATACTGACATTATGGCATTTTTAAGAATCTGAAGGTTCAAATGACTTATATAAAGCTACAGTGTTGAAGTCCAAGTCTATCGACAACCATCTTATTCAATCTGAAACTTATAGTGGAATTATTAAGGAACCATGATTCATACAGAATTGCATAGCAATCAATAGAAAATTTAATCAAAATCTGGATTTCCTTCTGCAAGTATTCAAAAGTGTGTTTTAGAGCAAAAAGATGCTGTTTATTGAATAAATAGAGATAAAAATATCAGGGTTATTGCAAGTTACTTTTTTCTCTTTTAATTTGTAAGGAAACGTTTTCAATTTATTTACATAATCAATGTGATATAAATGAATAGTGCTGGTATCTTAATATCTTTTTGAAAATAAGAGTTTTGAAAGGAAGAAAGTAGGTAGCTAGGAAGAATTTAAGCTAAATAAAATTGTTTCAATCTGGCCTCTGAGAAGTACTTGTTTATTTTACATAACTAGGTGGCTCACCTAGTAAAAAGAAGTGGTGAGCATTTTAAGTAACTATTTAAAAAAATGGTGACAAAAGGATTACAGTTTCAAATACAAAGATATACAATAGGATTATATAATTACTTGGGTAGAGGTGATAATTTTTAAAAATTCTTTCTCCAATATAACCATGGCACAGTATTTTTTTGTAAATGTTTAAAAAGTTAGAGTAGCTATTCTCGCTCATCTCACAATTATTCTACAAAAGCATTGTCATAATTTAAATAATTCATCGTGAGTAAGACTGAAAAAAATGTGTTTTGGAAAGACAAAACTCGTCCGTATGGAAAATTTTTCTTTACATAAATAGTATTTTTCTTAAGGACTAAATGTATCTGGCTTAGAGAAGTGCCAAGCGATTACCATTAATGAAATACTTTTACTTTAATACTTTTAATAGCATGTGATTTAATTACATTTATCCTTGAAGTTTATAATTAGAGATTGTGTGTGCTCTGGCTTTATGTCCTTATGTTTGTTGTATGTCCTTATATTGTACCTGTGATTATATCCAGGAAGCTGTTAGGATAATTCAGAGAGAATTCATTAGGCCATGAACTAACTTGAAGGCATTAGACATAAAGAAAGAAGAAATAATTGAGAGCTCTATTGAAAGAGATAATAGGGCTTACATTTAAAACAAGATCTAGCAGGATGAGTTCAGAATATAAAGCCATTGAAAGGTAAGTGGTGTCAACTTCATGGGAAAGACAGTTGAAAGAAAAAGATAAATTACATTTTAATATGTTTATTTTTGAGGTAATACTATGTTACCTACTCAGATAACTACAGTGTGAATGGTACATGACTGGGATGATGGAAAAAAATGGAATAAACTTGTGTAGGAGGTCGTAATAGGCAATGAATATCCAAACTGGCTATCACACTAAGCAGAGGTGAGGAAAATTAAGAAAGTAAAAGTAGCCATTATACTTCAGAATGAGATACAAACTGTACAAAGTCATTAAGAACAGTAAGGAAGGAGATTCTGATTCACTGACAATTGGTCAATAGTGTCTAAAGCTATAGATAATTTAAGGACCTGAAAAAATAAAAATATTTTTCTTTTGTTTCAGTGATATGCTGCAACTCTTAATTAGGAAAGAACTAGTGTGGATGCAGTTCAGCACTTGCACTACATATTTTCAAAGATTATGACTGACAAAGGAAAGTAAGATAAACAGTGGGATTTCAAGTATTATTTCAAAATGGAAGCACAGATGTTTAATAAAACAATGAAAAAGCAAATCTCATCTATGACATTCATGAATATTTCCACAATAAATTTTATCACAGAAATACTTTATTTGATAGTTATATTATTAGATATACATTTTGTTTAAATCTATCACGCATGTCTCCTTTACTACTTTTTTTTTTTTTTTTTTTAGATGGAGTTTCCCTCTGTCACCCAGGCTGGAGTGCAGTGGCGCAATCTCAGCTCACTACATCCTCCGCCTTCCGGGTTTAAGAAATTCTCTGCCTCAGCCTCCGGAGTAGCTGGGATTATAGGCACCCACCACCATGCCCGCCTAATTTTTTTTTTTTTTTTTTTTGTATTTTTAGTAGAAATAGGGTTTCACCATCTTGGCCAGGCTGATCTTGAACTCCTGACCTCGTGATCCACCTGCCTCGGCTTCCCAAAGTGATGGGATTACAGGCGTGAATCACAGCGCCCGGCTTCTACTACATTTCTAACATAAGCTAAAATGAAATTTCTGGCCGGGCGCAGTGGCTCATGCCTGTAATCCCAGCACTTTGGGAGGCCGAAGCTGGGAGACCACTTGAGTCAGGAATTCGAGAGCAGCCTGACCAATATGGTGAAATCCCGTCTCTACTAAAAATACAAAAGTTAGCCAGGCGTGGTGGCTGATGCCTGTAATCCCAGCTACTCAGGAGACTGAGGCAGGTGAATAGCTCGAACTCGGGAGGCAGAGGTTGCAGTGAGCCGAGATCCCACCAGTGCACTCCAGCCTGGGCCACAGAGCAAGACTCCGTCTCCAAAAAAAAAAAAAAAAATTTTCTTCTTCCATGTCTTGTGTGTGTAATTTGGCTACTGCTAGGCAAAGCAGAGCGAATGACTGAAATTCAGTAAGTTAAAAGGTAGCATGAATTGCTATAACATTTTTAACATATGTTGAATTGTATATAAACATATAGAGAAGGTGAGACAAAGGCTATTAGGAAGCTAAAGTGGGGAAATAATTGATTTTTTTTTTTTACTTCTAAATTACAGTAGTGCTTCTCATTCATACTATATATAGTCGCTCATCACGTTCGGCTTATATTGCTAATTATTTTTACTGGGTATATGTCTAGTTATTTGGTATATGTCTAGTATATATTTCCTGGGTATATGTCTAGTTATATTGCTAGTTATTTTTCCTGGGTATATGTCTTATTCCTCCATTACAATAATAATAAGCATAAAATGATAATCTACTTGAAAGAGCAAGTATCCTTGCTTTGAATGAAAGCACAGTGATGACTGAAAACACAGATTTTGGAGCAAGACAAACTGGGTTCATATTTCATGACTCTATCACCATTGGGCTTTGCAATTTAAGGAAAGTTTTATTCTGTTGATGCCTCTGTTTCTTTATCTCTAAAAAATTGAAATGGTTCATCTCCTGTAACATTGGTATTGGAATTAAATGAATTTATTACGTTAACTACTTCAAACAGCTTGGTATACAATAAGAGACACATAGACAATAGTTTTTAACATACCTGTCATACTCTTTCTTTGAGATAAAAGAATGATGAAGAGAGAAAAGGGCTGTTATTTACACCAAGGGGAAATTGTAATGTAATGGTTTAAGAAAGAAAGAAAGACAATGAATCACTATAACATCACAGTTAAGATCAATGCTCTGCAAATGTAAGTTCTTGACCAACATGCCAGGATTTTGAATGCCTCCAAAATTCATTTTCTGAATATGTAAGATGGTGAGAATAATAATATCAAGATTATAAATTTACTCTGACATATAAATATGAGTGTGTGTGTTTTGTGTATAACTTAGCACTGTACTTGGTGCACTGGAAGCATACATGCAGCAAATATAAGCTAATATTAGTATTATTCAGTAAATTATGTTTTAGCATCAGGATTATTGGATTATGGCTTTATCATTATTTAAGGGACCCATAGTTTACCTAATTGTGTATCAAGCTGCAACACTACTCTCAATATGTCTATATTAACCTCTGGGATATATATAATATAATTGAAAGAAGAAAGTACAAAAATTGGCTCTTTGAACTTCCATGTACACAAAAAGTTATTTAACTCATCATGAATATTTAAGACAAATATCTCCAGTACTAAATGCATGATAAAGTTAAAAACACACATAAGTTGAAAAACTATCATTATTCATGGATTAAATGTAACTTAGCATATGAGAATTTAATTTATTGAATTATTAAATTTGAATTTAAACCATTTACATTTATTTTCTTCTGAGAAAAATAAAAAATGATGAACTCTCAAACTATTAACCTGAAGAGGGGATGCAGTAGAACTCATTTTATAAATGCATTATCTTGTTTTAAATCAATGTAAAGCATTTTGATTAATAATCATATTTCATAACTTCTTTAATTTTAACATAATTGCATATGTATTTTTCTAAATAACTCAGACTAGGCACATTAATTTTGGCAATGAAACAAACAGTGTTTATGATACAACAGCTGGCTTGAAATCTAAATATAATCAAGGTAAATGAACATATTGTGTTACAGTTTCATATTGAAATTGCTTTTCTAGATTATATTCTGTTCTTCTTTAATTGGTGCTTGCTATAATGAATATTGAATATCTCCAATATCGTAAGCCACCCTAGAATTTCTGACATAACTCGTGAGGGGAAAAATTCCTGCATGACACATCAAAATTACACACTACAGTGTACAAAGAGCAGTATGTCCAGGTTGAGGACAGTGTCTCTTACACAAAGTAGCAAGTAAATTTTTAAGTATTTATCCTCCCAGGCAAAATTTACTTCATCTTTTTTAAAGTATCTTGCAATTATCAAAAAAAAAAAAAAAAGCCATTTTGAAAGGATAGGAAAGGAAATCTACCTATGCAGGCATATTTTATATCTATTTTTTCTCTATATTTTAATTCACATGTTACAATAAACAGATTATATATGTATATACATATAAACTCATAAAATACATTATACATATAAGTGTGTGCAGGTATTCATATATATGTATGTATGTACATGTATGCATGTACATATGTCTATGTGTCTTTGTGCATGTATCTATATGTATATATATATATAGAGAGAGAGAGAGAGAGAGATTCTTTCATCTATGAAACTCAGAATTTATTTCCTTTGCCTTTAATGAAGAAAAATGTTTAGTGAAATAAGCAATAGCTTAATATGTAGGTCAGGAAATTGCCAATATCAAGATTAATTATTTGCTATAATGTGATTCCTTGGGATTAGTCTTTGAAACTCCCAGATTTCAATATCCAAAACATTGCAAAGGAAACTTTATCAAAGGCAGGAAAAGTATTAAAAAAAAAGAAGTGACCCAGAAAATAACTCATGCTGCTGTGAAACATTCTGAGTCGGTTTCCTCCGTGTGGAATATCTATTCAGAGAGAGAAATAACTTTTTTATATGGGAGTATAGGGCATATTTTGTCTTCTAGGTCACTGTAGGACCATTTTATTTTTTTTCCTGCCAAACATCAATCTTTCTTTTATAAATAGTCTCATAACATAAGCCATCTGGAGAATGGCACTGTATATAACCCCCCAGTGGTTTTGGTTATGGAAGAGACAGAGGAAATAAAATTTACAAATTTCATCCTGTCTCTGAAGAAATTGGCACTTAAACTTAGATATTCAGAGTGGGATGAACTAGCTAATGAAGTGGAGTGCCTGTTCCACATTGCCTTGTCATTGCTTTCTCAGATATTGAAATGAATATCCATAGGCTATGGAAATTAAGAAAAAAAAGTCCCTTTATTTTAGTGTGATATTATTATCTTACACTGACAATGGAATAGCTAAACATTTTCTTGTCTGAAAAGTGTGACAACGTCTATTTTTTAACTAATTTTTTTTAGCAGTTCAGACAAACGGGATTTGCAGTGGTTTGCTATCTTGTTCAAACACAGTGTCATGCTTTGAGAGGCTGAGAACAAGAAAGAAAAAAAGTGCCGTATGAATCTCATGAAAATTGTTTGGGAAAGTTACAGTGAAAGGTGAAAATCCCAAATGTTTGGGCTACTGAAAACAATAGTTGGCCATTGACTAGATAAGTGGGTCACTTCTTGGGTTTGCTGGGGTTTCAAGTCAGTGTAAGAAATGAACCTTCATAAAATTAAGTGCCACTTATCAACTGATTATGGAACAATAATTAGTCACGTGATTTCATCTTTATTGTTGCAAACATCTTGTAATGTAGTTATAATTCCCATGTTAAAAGAGATTAAATAATTTTACATGAGTAAGCCATACCTCTAGATTTGAATTTAGATCTGATAGCAAACCAGGTGCACCTTTAGTCATATCACTTAGTTTCCTAATCTTGCATTCCTGAGACAAGTGTAAATGTCACATAAAATAACAAAATTATGCTAGAAAAGATAAAAACAAAAGATATGTTGAGATACTTAGGATCTTACATTTCTTGGTAATTGTAGCAGATTAGCTCCTGAAGATAAGTGACATGTAAGTGAATAATATAGGTAACTATGCTGTACCTGAAAAACTGCTGATAGAAAAGTAGATAAAAAGTGATCCTAGTCATGCTGAGTGCTTTTACTTAGAACTAACAGGATATGTCACAAAAATAAAAAAAAATCTTAAGCTATAATAAAGATTCAATAGGGACTGAAAATCAGAGTCTCTTATCTCTATGATGTTTAATACAAGATGGTATCCAACCAAAAAAAATCCATATTTTTGTTATATTCACCAGCTAATTGCTAATAAAATCTGGCTGAAAATGCAAAACAATATTACTTTAACTCTTAAAAAACCCCAAATATTTTTTCCTGGAGAAGGAATATTGTATAAGACATCTGTCAAAATAAGTTTATCAAATAATATATTAAATACAACAGACTGCATCTGACCTTCATTTCTGTTAATGTCAAAAAAAAATAATGAATTTGGTTTGATTTTAAAAGTGGATCAACTCTTTTATAAAGAGTAATGCCTATTATATCTACCATGTCAAATCTTATGTTTTGTGCACTAAATGAGAGTTCCATTAAGCATCTTACCAGTTTCACAGATGGATGGTAAATTATTTTTCTCTAAAATCTCCTAAACATTGTTTCAATATGCATATATTTCCTACCATCTAAATTAAATTGTGTAATATTTTATTGATGTGCAGTTGGTATTCTAAACATCTGTTTATAATGTGTAATTTAGAGAACACTTGGTCAATTATTAAATTATTATTAAACAGTATTTTTGTGACCAGTTTATGTTCACTTTTATCTAAATGTAATTGGGAATTGGTATGTAAGGGTTTTAAATAACACTTATTTTGACCTATAGCTAATGTTCTCCTGAATATGTTTGCACATTATTTGTCAGATACCGTTCAAACTGCTTTATATAACTTCTTATTTAATCATAACTTACATACAATAAAATGCTTGCTTTTCCTTGACAATTTGCTGGATTTTCATATATATACCCCTGGATAAATTATTGTGCATGTGTGCACTCCAATAAACACTACTGGGATCAATATATTAAAGTTTCTATGACAGCAGAAGTTTTTTTTTTAATAACTTCAGAGCCAATATGACACTCCAATATGTAACACTATTCTGACTGTCATTGCCATAAATTAGTTTTGTCTGTTCTTGAATTTCATACAAATAAAATCATGAAGTATGTATTATCATGTATCTGGATTCTTTTGCTTGACATAGAGACTATGAGATTCATTTATGCTTTGTGTATCTGTAGCTCTTTCATTTCATGCAGGTTTAGAGAGACCATGATTTGTTTCCCACATTCTTACTGAAGAGTACTTGGATAATTTTCCATTTTATGTATCAGGAATCAAGCTGCTATGAACATTCTTTGGATGGACATATGCACTCCATTTCTTGTGTGCCCGTATCATGCATATTGTATTAATAATTTCTGGGTCATGGGATAGGGAAATGCTTAGCTCTAGTGAATACCATAAAAATTTTTCTAAGTATTTGAACCAAGTGACAGCTCCATTCATTAATGTATAAGAACTCCATTTACCCCAATTTTTGTCAACATTTATTATTAGTCTACAATCATTATTTCAGTAAAAACTTCTCAGAAGTGTTAAAATCCTTTATTGCAAAAAAAGAAAAAGAAACTCATGCTCTGAGATATAAAGAGAGCTAATAGGAGTAAGTTGTAGAGTTGAGATTTGAATATAGTTTATGTAAAACAAAGTTCTTAAACATAAAGCTTATAGAAGTTCTGCTCACCTCAAAACAAAATCAAGTTCTGGAGAGTGTGAATACAATCCCTAGAGTTCTGTAGAATCTAACATTTTGTATCAGCTGGTCTAACTTTAGTCACAAAAACATGAGGTTATTTAATTATCTCTATAGCAAGAAATGGTTTGATTTTCAGTATTTAAATAGCAAATGATGAAAGAGAGAAGGATTTTCATTGGGCAGACAGATTGTTGAACATACATTTAAAAAAATCTTTACATGATCTGAAATATTGACTTAAATTCCAAGAGAGCTAAAGCAGATGAAAATTCCTATTGTCAATTTTTTTAGATTTGCACAGTCTAGGCAAATGAATGCTAAATTTGGAAGGCAATAGTAAAATCGTTTTTTACAACTAACTAGCTAATTCAGTCAAAATATGTAACCCTTCTTGAGAGGAACAGAATTGGAGCGCCCTTGTTGCTCATCCATGCTCCTTGTGTAGCCATGAAACACAGTAGGAAAGAGTATCAGAACAGTAAAATCATTTTTAAAGGTAATTTTTTGATGATCAGTTTACTACTACAAAGGTAACCTACACTCAGCAATAATATGAAAAGCTCATCTGATATGAATAATTATTTTTCTCTTTTTTATTTTTTTAATTGTTGATTTTGATGAAATATCCCTGATAAGTTCCATGTAACTGTTTCTAAAATTTTAGAAATTTGGGCCAAATTAAAAGTTCTTCAGGAAGCAAATAGTTGAATGTAATGTGGTACAACAATTCTGGGGAAATATTTACATTGAAATAATAAGAAATTAGTTTACATATATGTATATATACACATGTATGTAAAAATAAGATAAAATAGCAAAGGCTATTGAGATTTTTAAGAAAGTGAGAATTTAAAGGACCATAACTTTATTTTTTTTAAAAAAAGGATACTGTAAAAGTTTGGAAATTGTCTTATGGCAACTAAAATAACTGGAAAAATGATCATTTTAGATGAGCTGTGCAAAATGGAAAAACACTTATAGGTTACTTAAGCAAATTAACAAAAATAGTTTCTTAACTCCAGTAGAGAAAGAGTGAGGGTCTGTTAAATGACAAAACATATTTAAAGTGAATATGACGGCATTACTTTCTGTCTTTAACAAAATACATCTGCCACTCCTAAGCTGTTATTTTGAAATTTGATGCCAGAAAAAGTAACTGATGATCAAAATGGAAATATATAAAATAATGATATTTAAGAAATAGAGTGACTCTTTTAACTATTACTTTTGTTAGCATTCATTTGCCATCACAGATTATTGTCTTAAAAAAAAATAGAAAGCGTGAGAAAATTATATAGAATTGGTAAAAGGAGTTTAATTCTAGAAGAAATAAATAAATTATCTGTAACATAAACACGATATAAAATGTGCACACTCTGGGTTGTCACTTCCTAGAAAAACACCACACAGTGAGCAGTTGCACATGTTTTAAACTGTTTGCTTATCTTCATTCACCAAATTAGCAAATTCTATTGATTTTACCTTCTAGTTATAGCCCAAGTCCTGTAAATTTTCAGCTCCTCCAAAACTACCACCCTAGACCTAGCCATTCCCACCTACTGCCTGGACCATTGCCATAGCGTCCTAACGGATCATTCTGCTTCTGCTCTTGACTGCCTGCAGAATATTTTCAACACTAATATTAAAGTAGTCATTATAAAATATAATACATATTATGTGACTCTCCAGCTCTCAAATTGTGATGACTTTCCATCTGGAATTACCATATTTTTTTCTCCTCTGAAGACCAGAAAGTAAATATTTTAAGCTTTGTGGCTCACATACAGCCTCTCTCTGTTACATGTTCTTTTTCTTTGTTGTTGATGTTTATTAATGAACATTTAAAAATCTAAAAAATAAAATATTGGCTCATAGGTCACTTAAACCAGCCCATGAGCCAGCTTTGGCCTCAGAGCTGTAATTTGCTGAATCATAAATCTAAGATTGGGCCATGGTCAAAACCCTTATGTGACCCGGTCTATACCTGACAGTGGCTCTCATGTCATCTTCTAGGTGATGTCCCTATATTATCAGCCCTAAAGTTGTATTGGCCCTCTCCTCTTTTCAACATGGCTTTCACACACGATGGTCCTTCTGATCCTAACATTCTATCACCACATATTCACAAGACACACACTTTCACCTTTTTAAAGTTTACATTCGAATACAACTCCTAAGAGAGCTCTGTCTCATGTATGCTACCTGAAATAACACTTTCAGTTGTCTATTTGAATATTTACATATTTCAATACAAAAATAGAGATAGTTATGCATTTCAATATGAAAAAATTAATACTGAGTTTATCCTCTATGTAATAGTATTTGTTTGGGACTTGGAAATTATCAAAAGGATTTTTAAAGCTCTTAATGAAATATTACGTGAGTATGAACTTATCTCCTCTTTGTCTGTTCACACTCCACTAGACTGAAAGTACTCTGTGTATATGAACATTGACTATCTTGTTCAATATTTGTTATAAAAGAGGAATAGGTATAATAGGTTCTCAATAAATATTGATTAAATATAGAAAAAATAAGTGCATTTATTCATTAATTGTTGTAATGCTTAAAATGATTATGTTATTTATTCATTCAACGCTGAGAATTTTTATTTTCATTTTCTTCCCACACTATACTGATATAAAGAATGACTTTCATAACTCTATACCAAAATATAAGCTTGGTGAATTTAAATTTTACCAACTAAGTACTGAAGCATAAAACAGTATCTGATGAGTCTAATTTATTGAAGTGCTACAATATCAGCAACTTACTAGCAAATTTTTCAGGAAAAAAAAATACACACACACACACACAGAGGAGAGTATGTGGTAAACTGTTAAAGACTGGTAGTTCTATGTAAATGTACATGGTTGTGCATGGCACAAATCTAAAATTTATAGATTTTTTAAAAATGTAAGTTTTTTCTAAATAAAAATTTTTAGGAAAATGTTTACTAGCAGCTGTGAAAGCAGACTACACTTTTGGTAGTCTCATATTAGTTGTCTATTCTGCCAACTGATTGACTAATTTAAAGTTAAAGCAAACACCTAATAGTTTGTCCAAACCAGGATACGTCTATGAATGAAAGACAGTAGGCAAACTATTAAAATTATTGTATATATATGTATTTATTAATTATATTTGATTTTATTATAGTGGCAGATGTTGAAATCTTCTTTTAGGCTGTTTTAAACAGTTCAATTGGTTTTTTAAAAAATACAAAGAAAAATGTCCCGTACATAAAGCAAAAAGTTTTTTTTTAAATATTGTTCATCTAAAAATAAAAAACATAGAGTGGAATAATTAATAATTAGCCAGTACATTTTTATGTACTTTAATCCATTCTTTATTTATCTGTATGACTAAAATCATTTGCATTATATTTAGTCAAATAATGTATTTTTTCAATATAGTCTTATAAATTTTAATTTATTTACTCAAATAGGCTTCAGTCTTCTAACATTTGTTTTATGATTAATAAAAATGAAATTGTTGACATCCTTGATGACTTTTCTCTGTAGATCATTTGTTTCTGAAGGAGAAAATCCTTTTGATAATTTCCAAGTCCCAAACAAATACTAATACATAGAGGATAAACAGTATTATTTTTTTCATATTGAAATGCGTAACTATTTCTATTTTTGTATTGAAATATGTAAATATTCAAATGTATAAATATTTCAATCCAAACAGTTTTACAGGTACTGTTCTTTTCCTCCATGCAGAGGGCCTCTTTATGACAAATATTTTCATATAACAAAACTCAATATATATTACCTTCGTTTGTGATTGTTTTGAATGTTTTGTCAACCTTCGAGGCTGCAAAACTGAGAAAACCTGTCAAGGTGTTCTGTTCATGCATAGAAAACAAAACACTGTATCCAAATAAAAATAGAAGCCCTGTCAAATGATTCTTTCCACATAATATTCTAAAGAAAATTTATATAATTTGAAAATAAAATCTTACTCACTGACTTTTTATTTTTAACTTGCTCAACTCCTCATATTTTTGTAGAGATATACTGATATTTCTCTTCCTCCTAGCAATCTTTATTCTTGATAACTAAAACTTACTAGAAGCTTCAAAAGATTACTTATTTGATGTTGCACTCATCAAAGTCTTTTAATAAAGATTCTGAGCTGATTTTTAATACAAAATTTAAGCAAATTTAAGAGGCCTAGTTTATAGAAAGTTTCAATAACATTTTAAGACATGCAACATCATTTACAAACTAGGTCATTAAAGCCTCAAATATTTCTAACATCTTATAGATAATGAGCTACAAACAGACAAAGTGTATACCACCTAAACATTTGTTTTGTCTCAAATCTTTGGTGTCCTATATCTCTGGGTATAGAAATATATTTTAGGTTTACAAAACAGTTTCTATTAAATTCCAAATACAATTTCAGTTTATTGGTTTCTTAATGTGGTTAAACATTGTTTTCACTATGACTCTGTGCTTCAAAAATGTTTTTAATATTATTGCCACAAAAGCAAGTTATTTTACCTTAAATAATGGATTACTTAACTGACTTTCTATTGGAATTCTTAATAATGGTAGAATTTTCACATCCAACTGAAGGAACTTCTAAAATGTTTACTTTGATTTCTGAATTCCATGAAATAATCAATCCATTATTAAAATTAGTTTAACTCATTTTCTATTTGGCATTATTTGATAAATGTGGCAATATTTGACAATTTTGAAATTCTTATATATTAATGGAACTGATATCCGTGGTTTAACTTTGTGTGCATGTGTCATAAATCTTAGAATAAAAAAGATCAAGTTTAATTTTGAGGAAAAGTCATTTGATTTAAATAAAATATCATGCTTCCCAAATGCTATGAAAATATACCCTCTACAGCTGTATGTGTTAAATCTTTATTTTAGAGCACTGTCTTAATATAGCTACTTATTTGTAAAATTGATGGTATTGCTTCTTGAGCAATTTTGTCTTTTTCTTCCACTTTCTGTGTGAGTGATAAGTATCGTAAATGTCAACAGACATTGTGTACAAGTAACATATTATTCATCAACTTTCTTGAGAAATGGAAATTTATTTCTTAATTTGTATTATAAATGCATTTTTGGGGAGTGAGACTGTTTATTGTTGCAGATGGAGTTTATGGCTTAAAAATAAATAAGCACTAAAATAGTAAATAATTGAACAGTATAGATTTTCACCAAACAATAAATGACAAGTCCTTTGTAGTGAGTCCTCACACCACTCTCTATATTCTCTATGGCAGTACGGATGAGTCCATATTTCCTGTAGTTATTTCACATGCACCAAAACTATAATTGTCTCATTGTTCCACCAGCCTCACCAGCTACCACCAGTGCTTTGTGGTTTTCAGCATTTCACAAGCTGAGGATGCATAAAACCACATCTAGCTGGAGGGCCAAGTTGAGACCTTAGTTACCAGCTCTGAATACTTCTCCCACCACTGCCTTTTACCATGCAGGGTCACATACACTGTCTGTAAAATATTACCAAGAGTTATACGGCTCCTGGAAAGCATCAGAAAAAGAGAGGTAAACCTGATAGCTTACTTGACCGTGTGTTAAAGTATGGATGCTGTTCTCAATCCATTTATATTTTCACAGCTAGAAGTACAAAGTGAGGATTGCCAAAATAACTCTAACCTTTTTAAATGTAATTATTAATAATAATTTTTAATTGAAAAATCTGAGACAAAGGCTAACAGAAGTGATGCAAGGCAAATAGGGATAAACTAGTACTGTCCAGGACAAACAAAACGTGTGGTCATCCCACATACAGCATTACCAATAATGTCTTAACCAAATTACATTCTGCTGGAGGCATTCATCTGATAGCATAAACCATTCTTTTTCAATTAGAAAAAAAAAATAGGTTTTAATGTTGTTACCCCCGCCTTTCCTCTGAAAAAACAATGTAAGCAGTTTTAGTTTTTGAGTTTAATTTTTTTCTTGTTTTTGGTTATTTCATTTTATGTTATTTTGAGACAGGGTCTCACAGTGTTTCCCAGGCTAGTCTTGAACTCCTGGGCTCAAGCAATCCTCCTGTATAGCTAAGATTACAGGTGTGCACCATGAAAACCAGCTTATTTTGGGTTAATTTATTGGGTGTATAGAGCGCTTTTCTTAAAAGCCACATTGTGTACATGTTTCAGGAATAGTTCTGAAACTTATCTCAGATTTTTTATTTCATCAATGATAATTTACAATATGTATCAAGATGTGGAAATTGCTACTATGTTTTTATATCAGGACATATTCTTAATGATGGTGATATTACTATCCCTTAAAACACTTGACAATATTTCTAAAATGAGACATTCATAAGGACAAATGGTATAATGCAAAATATATGAAACTGAGAAGTAGCTTCAAATTCTATTTCTAAAACTGAATAGATTTTGACATTAGATAAGTAACAACTTTTTCAAAATCAACTGCTTCCTCTGTACAATAATATAAATATATACCATATCTATATCTCATAATGGATTTGGGCATCAGATGAGAATATAGATGTGAAGCCATAAGGAAGGAGTCCATATTTAGAGTGACCAAGGGTAGTGCTACATGTTTCTATCTGGGCTGCACAGTTTCTGCCCACCTGGATTGGATACAGACCATTGGCTCACTTTGCTTTTAAAATCACAAAAATTTAAATATCCTTCAGTTTCTTTCTCACTTTCTTGCCTGCTTTGTCACAAGGTCTTGCTAAATGATTTCCTAACTTGACTGAACACAAGTCATTTCTCGGAACTAAAAGTACATCATTTCTTTCCTCCCAATGAAATCCCACAGTTTTCCTCCTGTTTTCTTTCCATAGACTTTGTGCTGCTATGCATTAAAACGGTAATCATGCTAATGATGTCATTTAACACTTACATCATACATACCATCTGTACTTATGTATTACTTACTGTTTGATAGTCACTGGTCTAGGTAATTTGCATATACCAATTCATTTAATCTAACAACATAGGCTAGAATATGCTTTATAGATCTGCTTATGGATGAGGAAAGTAAGGACTGATAGGTAAAGTAACCTGTCCAAGTTGACAGCGATCAGTGACAAAGCCAAGACTTAATTCCAGGTGGAATGATTTTAGAGTTTGTGTTATTAACCACTATGATATGTTGTATTCATGAGCAAGTGCAAGTGTGTGTGTGCATGTACATATGTGTTTGTTTAGGTGGTAAGAGAAAGTCTGTGTATTAATGGTAGATACAGAAAAGTAGGATAGAAGAGTAATTTTATACTTTGAAGTCAGGTGTAATTTTTTGTAGTTATTTTTATTCACTTGTTACTGGTGTCCTTTTGGTTTTGTTTCCAAATATCTAAAGAGAAAATAACATGGCACAGTTACTAACTTTCCAATATACCTCCCTGAAGCCTGCATGTAAAATAAGTATCCTCATGCTAGAAAACCTCAGAATGCCAAGAATCTTGTTTTCTCCCAGATTCTATTATATAATACTAAGTTCTCTTTTATTATGTTTGCTGAGAACAAGACACGGTTCATCATGTTGAAACCCTGGATCTTCTCCTCAATCACCAAAACTTCTGAAGAAGGACAATCTTGATACAGAAAATTAGATTATAGAGATTTAAGTCTAGTAAAGTGTTGGGGATAGGTCGATAACATTAATAAAACAGTATTCCCCAAATTTTCTTCTGAGACATCTAACATTTTAAATTTATAAAATCCTACTTAAATACCTCTGTATTAAAAATTATTTTAGTTCACAAGAACAAGGCTTTAAAGGAATATTCAGCTTTTAAAAATCAGAAAATCAGTTTTAATCTACATCTCATTAGGCCTCTTTTTAGTTTAATATAGAAGTGCACATAATATATGCATTTATACACAAAATGATTTTGAATTGGTGTAGGGTCCTCCAATGTTAGCCTTCTTTTTTAAACAGTTCAAGATCTTTAAAAATGTTGACACTCTTAGAAAATTATCGTCAATAAATTTAAAATAGTCCTTAAAAACTAACAATGAAACAGATGAGTGATGAAGATCCTTTAAATATCTACTTAAATGAAGATGATGTACTACCTGGCATAATTGTGGATCAAGGTGCCAATTTTATCCTAATGGGAAAACTTAGACCCAATGTATCATCACAATAGAAAGAAACATTAATTAGTATATTTTAACAGAAGAGTTCAAATTCAATACATAATTTTAGTAGAGCTCATTACTTTGGTAACCCATTTGTTTAATGGTCATAAGCAAAAGAGTATGGTTAACCCAATACTTAAAAATTTTTCACTTAAAAAAGGCAAAACAATAATTATAATATGCTGGCCAAAGCCCAAAGCCTAAAGAATTATAAATCACAGAATGTCAGACTGTATTTGTTCATTTTCACAGCATGGCTTTTACTTGCTTTATTCTTGCCACCTGAAATGATTTTTCCCTCAGACTTCTATTCTCTTCACATATTTTAGGCCTCATTTTAAATATCACTTTGCCAGAACTACTCTTCTTTTCCACACTATCTAAAGTAAGTCCCAATTCCTAATCATCTAGGTGTCTGTCATAGCCCCTGGAATAATCTGTTCAAAGCCATATCTTTTAGTATTAAAAAAATATGTTTTTTTTCTCTGAGTTTTCCCCCTCTAGGAACATGACAGCCAAGGTATTTTTATTCCAACTGGGCTAAAATAAAACAAACATAGAACAGAAAGAGTGCCATATAAGTGTTAACTCAAAACAAACACTTTTAGAAAGGTAGCTGGAAGTGTTGGAGACAGGCATCTGCAACTGAAATGTGAGTTTTGTTTTCCCCAAAATTACATTTGATTTAATTTCATGATATTTTTGCCATGAAGGCAAATGTATAAATATGCAAACAAATTTACAATCTATCATTTTATAGTTTCTGTGTTTTTGTCATATTAGAAAGACATATTCTCATCTAATTTATGACCTTAATCTTACCTGAGTTATTGCACTCTATGCCTTTCTGTGGTGCATAACTCAGGACAATGCCTGATTCATAGCAGGCATTTCATAAATCACTGTTGAATAGATGGACAAGTGAATAGATGAGTGAATTAATACAATAGCTTCTTAACTATTTCCCCTTTTACAATAAATTTGCTTCTACCTTAACTTATCTAAAGCACATACTGGTGAGACGGTCTCTTATTAGAAGCAATAAAATTAAAACTTTCCATCTCAAAGGTATAGAATCCAGGGTCTTTAGGTATTGTAAGAAGTCATTTTGTGACCTGTTCCCCAAACTTTCTACAATTGTACAACTGGAGCCAGCCTACATTATTTACAAATTATCAGATTTTCCTGGCTTTTGATACTTCATGATTCTGATTTTCTCTCTCTTTACTTTGTACTTCTCTTGTGGGTTTCACCATCTGCCAAATCCCTCTCCAACTTCTCAGAGTTCTTTAAAGCCATTTTGTGACTTCTTCCTGACCAGTTCCTTCCCTGAATCTTCTCAGCTTTCCAGAATGTTCTGGTGAGTTTTCCCATTCTGCTTGAATTGTAGGTATATGTGAACAAGAGCCAACTTATCTCCTAGATTTAAAAACTCCCTTAGAATAGAAATGTGTTTATTATTCTTTGTATCTTAGGCACATCTATGCACAGTTTTGAATTTCTGAGAGATTCTTACTGCTACTGTTGCAGGTTTTTCACTCCCGTAGTTCAGCAAGCAGGAGGGAGTGTCACCCAGTTGCCACTTCTCTCCCATTGTTCAGCAAGTGGGAGAGAGTGTTACAGCTCTTTTACTCCTGCCACCTGCAGATCAGCAAGCAGAAACAATACACCCCTTTCACTCCTGCAGTTCAGCAAATTCTAGGTTCTTGTCCCACAACCAAGAGGAATAGGGTACGTGGAAATCAGAGAGTGAGTAAGGCAGAGTAGAATTGTATTGAGCGACAGAAACTAAGCTCTCAGCATCTGAGGGGACCTGTAAGTGGGTAAGCTAACTTTGTGGCTGAGTCCAGGTTTCTATGGGCTTAGAATGGGGGGGAGTGTGTGCTGAATTGTCCATGAGCAGGCTTGGAAAAAGTTTGGTTAAAAGGTATCATCGAGAAGGAACAAATTGAGGGAGAGTGGGTAAACCGGGGACAGAAATTCTCACTCTGGTCATGGACTCTATCCAGAACTGGCATCTCAGTTTTCAGGCTTCAAACTATCCTGGCTTGAAGGTTGAGACCTGTCCTAGGGAGGGACCCTGTCTGCCTAGGAATTCGTCTGTATCCTTTCACTATCAATCCCCCCTCTGAAGAGGTGCATCTAACTTCCATTAGGATAGGGACAATGACTGCTCTAACTGCTTCCTGCCGACGGGGGGAATTGTTTTGGGAAAACAGCTGTCAGATATCTCTCAGAGGCCTATCTAAGGGTCCCCAGTAAAAAGGGAGCCATCATCTGAGGCTCCATTTACATGATCATTTGGAGTTTGATGGCCTTTAGCCAAAAAGAAACAAATTTTACAAGGAGGTTAAGTATGCATGAACCATATATGAGTATTATACAAAAAGGAGCTAAAAGGGAATAATCTTGTGCCAGAGATAACAGAAATAAGAAGTAAAATAGACTAATCATTCTGAAAACAATGTTGTGGCCAGAGCAGTTTCACCCTTGTGAAAGAAATTAAATCTAATTTGGGGGAGGGCAGTTAAATTTTAGAAAAGAGATTTCTGTTTAGGGGAGTAGATAATCCCATGGGCATTCAGGATTAGGGGTCCTTGGCAAAGACACCTAATGGTGAGGAACAGAATGAAGGTGAGAACAGCAATCATAGGCAGGACTATAAAGGATATCCATGAAAGGTGAATTACTGACACTTATGATCTTTAGCTTCAGGTTTCCAATTTCTTTACATTGGTGCTTTGAGTGCTCTCTGGGTCAACAGAGATAATTCCATAAGTTCCCCAGGCCTTTACTCTAGTATAATATATCCAAGAATCTATTCCAGTGATCTTCACTGCTGAAGAAGTAGAAAGAAGTACACTGTAAGGTCCCTCCCAACCCAGACCTGAGAACAACCACTGGGCTAATTGATAGGTTTAATCCTTTCCTAGGTGGAAGGCTTGGTGAAGGATTTGAAGAACTTTCCATTGGCTGAAAGCTGCTGGATGAAGTTTGCCATACTCTGATTGTAGTCATCCTGAGGGCTGAAAGGTGTATTCCCAAGAGGTGGCCCATTCTATTTCCTCAGAAGAATATTGAAGTTTTATTTCTCTTATGCAGCCCTCCCAGATTAGAGGCCTCAAGTGGATCAGATATCTGTGGAACTCTCACTGCCAATTTAGCTGCTTGGTCTGCCAATGTATTTCCCTTGGCTGTTTCATCCACCCATTTTTGGTGGCCTTCACAATGTATCAATGCCACTGCCAATGGAAGGAAAACCTAGAATAATAGTCTGTTAATTTCCTGATGGTGTTTAAAGGGAGACCAATTAGCTATGAGGAAGTCTCTCTCTTTCCAGATATTGGCATGGGCATGGAGGATTAGGAAAACATACTTAGAATCAGTATAATTGTAAACTGCTTTCCCTTTGCTTAATTCAAACATTTTTATGAGGACAATTAGCTGAACTAGTTGAGCACTTGTGCTCGAAGAAAGAGGTGTGCTCTCAATAGTGTCATTCAGGGTGACTACTGCATACCCTGCTTTATGGATCTCTTGTTCTATAAAAAAAATCCGTCTGTAAAAAGAGTCCAATCTGGGTTCTCCAAGGTAGTTTCTTTGAGGTTCTCTCTGGCTGCATAGATTTGTACTACTATCTGTTTGCAGTCATGTTCAGGTTCCCCAGCTTTTTCTGGAAGGAAGGTGGCTGAGTTTTGACAGTGACACCTTCTTAACTGGACTGTAGATCCCTCCAATAGCAGAGCTTGATATTTGAGGAGATGGTTGTATGTTAGCTGGAGACTCCTCATGGAAGACAGCAGTCCTGCCACATTATGTAGGGTATAAACAGTTAAGTTATTCCCCATCGTTAACTTAGTAGCCTCTGGCACCAGCAAAGTTACCACTGCAACTGCCCAGAGGCAGGCCGGCCATCCTTTAGCCACCAAATCAAGCTCCTTGCTTAGATAGCCTACAGGCTGCTGGACTGGATCTTGGACCTGGGTTAGAACTCCCAGGGCCATTCTCTTCCTTTCTGATCCATAAGGATTGAACGGCTTCCCAATGGGAAGACTAACGGCTGATGCCTCAGACAAGGCTTGTTTCAATTGGTCAAAGACCCTTTTAGCCTCTGGTTCCCAAATTAGCTGTCTGAGCTTCCTTTTTTAGGTGATAAAGGGATGAGCTATCTCATCATACCCAGGTATCCATAATCTGGAGAATACTCTAATGCCCATGAATCCCCTCAGTTGCTTGAAGATTTAGGGGAGGGAAAAGGAGGAGATGAGCTTAATCTTTTCTTTGCCTAATGCCCTGGTTCCCTCTGACAAGACTAAACCTAAGTACTTCACTGAAGTCTGATAGAGCCGAGCCTTAAATTTTGAGATCTTACATCTTCTGTCAGCTAGAAAATTAAGAAGAGCCTTATACCCCTCCTGAGAGATTTCCTCAGTTGGGGCACAATGGAGAATGTCATCTACATATTATAAAACTTTAAATTGTGGATAAAGAGAGATCCCTTGACAATGCCTGCCCAAACAGGTAGGGCCTGTCTCAGAATCTCTGTGGTAATACCATCCAAGTTAGCTGGGTAGTCTGGTTGCAAGGATCCTCGAATGCAAAGAAATATTGGAAGTCAGGGTGTAGTGGTATGCAGGAAAAAAGCATCCTTTAGGTCCAGGACTGTGAACAATTTAGTATCCTCAGGTACTTGAGTTAGCAGGATATAGGGATTGGGAACCACAAGATGAATTAGAACCACAACGTCATTAATGAGGTAGTGATCCTGGAACGTCTCCATTTCTTATTGGGTTTCTGTACCCTCAATATCAGGGCATTACAAGGGTTGTTGCAGGGTTTGAAGATGCCCTGGAACATCAAGTTATCATTGATTGATTCTAGCTTTTTCCTGGCTTCTGGTTTTTGGGATCTTGTCTCTGGTTAGGAAAAAAGGTTGGATCTTTACAATGGATCTGGACAGGTATGGCAGTTGTGGCCCAGCCAATTTTCCCTTGAGTTGCCCAAACTTTTGAGTTAATATCAGTCTCCACCAGGGGGAAGACAAAGAGTATACCCTGGAACCATAAGGATGGTGGTTCCCATAGGAGCTAAAATATCCCTGCCTAGCTGAGGAGTTAAGTTTTCAGGCATGATTTAAAAGGCAGGAGTAAACAAGAGGTTTTCCCAACTACAACTAATGGGTTGGGAAAAGTATCGTCCTGAGACACCCCTCATGGTCGTACTGAGGGAGGAGAAGAAGCCTGGATTGGAGAGGAGAACAGAAATGGCCACTCCTATATCCAGGAGGAAGTTATCTTCCTCCCTTCAACCTCTAGAATCACCCTGGGCTCCTGGATGGTAATGGTGGTCTGAGTCGTCGGAGCTGGAGAGAGGAGCCCTTGGACCCATCAGTCCTGCTTGACTATTTGGGAGACTATCTGTACCCGGTAACCTGCATCTCCCGGGACAGTCCACCCTACAGTGGTCCCCACTGCAGACTGGAGAGGGTTAAGGTGGCTTCCCCATGTTTCCTGCACAGTCCTTCTTATAGTGCCCTGGCTGCCACACGTATAGCAGTTAAGAGGTACATCTCAGGGATTCTGGGGTTTGCAAACCTACAATGTAGCCACTAGAACCTCTGCCTTTTTCTCTCTCCTCTTTCTTGAGTGTCCTCCTGAGCCCTATTATAAAAGACTGAGGTGGCTATTTTCAGGAGGTTTTCTTTTCTTTTCTTTTTCTTTTTTCTTTTCTTTTTTTTTCTTTTTCTTTTTTTTTTTTTTTGAGACAGAGTCTCTCTGTTGCCCAGGCTGGAGTGCAGTGGCGCAATCTTGGCTCACTGCAACCTCTGCCTCCCGGGTTAAAGTGATTCTCTTGCGCCAGCCACCCCCCAAGTACCTGGGATTATAGGCACACACCACCATGCCCGGGAAATTTTTGTGTTTTTAGTAGAGACGGAGTTTCAGCATGTTGGTCAGGCTGGTCTCAAACTCCTGACCTTGTGATTCACCCACCTCTAAAGTACTATCTGGTCCCATAGCCTGTTTCTGTAGCTTCCTCCTAATATCAGGTTCTGCCTGAATAATAAACTTATCCTTTAGGATTAGTTGTACCTTGATTGAATCAGGAGGTAGAGTGGCATGCTTTACCAAGGACTCTCTTAGCCTTTCCAGGATGGCAGTGGAATTTTCATCTGATCCCTAGTCTATCATGGATAGTTTGGAGTAACTGAGAGGCTTAGTGTTAGTCCTTCATAAGCCCTCCGCTATGCACATCTGAAAGTGCTTCCTTCTTCATTCTCCTGTGTCTTCTTTGGGGTCCCATTTAGGGTCCTCCAATGGTACTGCTGTTTTTCCAATTGGATAAGGTTCTTCCCCTTTCTTGGCACTATATGGAAAACTAAGCTCATCCCCAAACTTCTCTGCTGTTTGTAAGTCGGCCTGCTTCTCAGTGGTAGTCAAAAGTAACATAACATCCTTCCAGGAGATTTCAAATGCTTGGGTTAAATTCTGGAAAGCTGCTATATACCTGCCAGGGTAGTCTGAAAACTTAACATGATCCCCCTTAATTTGTCTTAAGTCTTGTAGAGAAAAGGGGACCTAAACCTTAATAGGGCCATATTCACAAGGCATCTCTTATAGGGGCATGAGTGAGGCTGGGACCCACTTAAAATGAGGATTTCTAGGATGGGACAAGTTAAGAAAGAACATGGATAGGGAGGACAGGATGGATCAGGAGGAACAGGACCAGAGAAACTGGACTCGCCTGCTGGAGGCAGCTCTGGAATTTGCTTCCCTTGTCCCTTGAGATTGCCGTTTGCAGCCTCTCCTGAGATGACCACTAGGAGGGCTAGATCAATTCTACAATGTTGGCAAAGCTTTGGAATATCATGCAAGGCAAAGAAAGCCTGCACATATGCGACCTTGGACACTTTGGCCATCTCATTTACAGAAAAGGTCCAGCTGCAGGACAGTGTGAAAATACTTTCCTCTGGAGGCCAAGCTTCTCTGTCCTGCAGTTTATAATTCGGCCAAGCTGAATTATAAGCAAATCTAGAGAGAGTGGGTAAGATGAGGATAGAAGTTCTCACTCTGGTCGTGGATTCTTCAGAACTGGCAGCCTGGTTTTCAGGCTTTAAATTGTCCTTGCCTTCAAGATCGGGTTTCAGTGGGGACCCTGAGTCCTTTCTGCCTAGGAATTTGCCTGTCTCCTGTTGCTAGCATCAGTATTCAATTGGTAGTAGTTTTCACATCTAAATTCCAAACTAAAAGATGCCTTCCAAAAAAGAAAAGTAAGCATTTATCAATTTAAAATCGATTTCATGTCATGGTAATGAAGAATAGTTATACAACAGTATTCTATTATCAAGGATTTGAGAATATAATTCTACTTTTATAGCAAAGATCTACTTTTGTCTATAAAATTGAATATTTTTGTTTCCATGATGGATCAGCAAAATGTACCATAAAGTGTGAAATAATAAAGCTTTGAAATGCAGTAATTCATATTTGGACCCATAAACACTTACCTTACATCAAAATCAATTTCATATACATTAAATGTATTGGTATAAATTTTCTAATATGAAAATAGATAGATGAATGAAACATCAAAAAATCTGTACTAAGGAGTAAAGTTTCAGTTTAAGGGAAGAAAAAACGCAAAGGAAAAATGATACATTTTTAACATATAAACATTTCACATTTATGTCAAATGCTGCAGAATGAAATCATACTACAAACTAAGAAAAGGAATCTAGCAAAAATGTAAACAACATGAATACTGGCTCAATAAATATCTCTAATAACTTTTTATATGCTAAAAAGTTATACAATAGTTTTTTTAAACGGATAAATTGAGAAAGTTGATAATTTTAAGAAAAGCAAATGCATTAAAGCTTTCAACCACACATGTATGTAAAAACTACAAATTAAACGATGTCATATTAATTTTTACCTATGAAATTAACTATGATTTTCTATGAGATTAGGGAAATCAGGGAAGGTTGCAAAACAATGAATGGGCATATAAATTTTTACATATCTTAAAGAAGATGTTTATAAGCACAGTCTTCCTAACCCCCATCCTTCTACATACACATACACACACACACACACACACACACACACACACACACATAATCTTTCTAATATAGAATCAAAGGATTCCTATTTTGTCACTTCCCCTCCCTATGACTTAAAATAGTTCTCTAAGTCCTTATTGGACCTTTGCCAATTTAAATGTAAAGATTCAGTATGTTACCTGGAGGTTAAAAAAAAAAGTGGCAAGGAATTCTAAAGTGTTTTTTTTAATTGCCAATTACAAAGCAAAATCAATTTTTTGCAGAATTGATACATGTCCCCAGCATTAGTCAAATACAGTTATATGGCCATTTGTATGTGAAAGAATGACCTAAAATCTGAATCAAAATAAGCAGCCATTCATCTTTGCAATATGATTCAGCTGACTTGCTTAAATTTGCATAAAACAAACCTTTTTTGTAGACCTTTGCATTTAAAAGGCTTTTAGAACTTCTAAAAGTGCTTGCAACTCTCAAAGATGGTGCCCTTTTTCTAATAACAGCTTTCTCAAGCAGAGACAATCTAAAAGAAATACATATGTAATAGATATATATATATTTAAATTTTGTCCTTGTTTTAACATACATAGGCCCCATCTCTCCTTTGGGCACTTTTTAGTTTTTTTGTTACATCCTAATGATACCATAAATATTCTATAAAACATAATTTAAAGAATAGTGTGTTCTGTGTGAACTCTCTCAGCAGGAAAATGTAATGACTAAATACATACTCTTGAAGTATGCCAAAAATAATTTCATGGAGTTATTGTAGCATGCTGAGTATTAGAAGGCCTTTTAAATTTCAAAATGGTGTTATAATGATTTATAATATCCAAATGCTCTGAAGTGGCCATTCATTGCACATCTTGTTATGCAAAATAGTAAGCTTTCTCAAAAGTCATTTATTAATCACTTTAGTTTTGAACAAAACACTGTTCTCTTAGCTGTTTCTAGGATATTATGCCCTATCTTTTACTCAGAAAAAAAATTCAAAAATCAAAGGTCATGCCTTTATTTGTACACTTTTGTACTTTTATCTTGAAAAAAAAGCTGCAATATTTTAATTAGAGGAGTACTTACGTTTAAGAAATAATGCCAATAAATAATTATAGTGAGTAAGAGTTTCTTTTTCTGTTTAGGTGTTCATTTTTGTCAGTCAAGGTTCCCTATTAATACTGACATTTTTATGAAATATAAATTTATTCTCTTGACAATTTATATTTTATATTATTTATGGTGTTGAGAAAAGCAAGCACAATACTTTAATCTTTTGAAAAAATCTCTAGATTTACATAAAGATAAGTGGTCATAAAATCCATTCCACAGCAACCAGGAAGAGTTTATGTTATTGTTTCTAAAAGTTTTGAAATGTAATATCCAACATATTTCTGAAATTATTTATTGGTTTGAAGAAGGCATTTTTAATAAAAGCTTGTTGGCATTGATTTTTTTTTTCTTTTCTGGTTAAATATACTGCTGATGTGAACATTGTTTGGCGTACATCACTACTATTTAGCCATTCAACATCTTGAACATAGCATTTTTTTTCTAGATCACTAATCAAATCCTTATTAATGTAACAATCTACTACCAAATGACTAATATTAATTCTTGAAGTCAGTATCAACTTCTGACATAAAATTGTGTAGTCTTGAATCACAGATCTGAAAGACATATTAGAAATCATACCAAAATACTTACTATATAAATATGAAAATTAAAGTGTAATTAGGCAAAGAACTTGGTCAAATGCCAAATAGCAGAGTAGGATGGCCCCCTCCTTATTATCTTAAATTTCTTTCCATTTTTCTTTTATGTCGTTGTTTTTTTAATTTTAATCCCCTCCACTGCCTTATATTATCGTGGCCTAAAATAAGTGGGGATTTCATTAAGCTGAATGAAGTTACTAGAAGGATGAAAAGAATAATAACACAATTTATGAGTCATTAGGACTTTGGGACTATATCATGAACATAGAAATGTTGGATGAAAAAGATTCAAGAAATAGTGAATTTTAACTTTGAGGCTTCATGTGTATGAATGCATCATTTAGGCCTAAGCTGGTGAAATAATAGAATTGCTATTTATACAGAGTAGAAGAGCTGTAAGAATCAGTAGCTTGGCATTGGCCATATTAATTTTGACATGACTACAGACCTTAAATTAGATGTGAAGGAAAAAGCTGGAGGGTAGTAGACTGACATGCTAATTTTGGTGTTTTTGAGATTTAGATGATGTTTAATTCCATAGGTTGAATAAAAACAGCTAGAATATTATTATATGTAGAAATGAGAAGAAAGTTAAGGTCAGTGCCCTAGGGCATTCTATTATTGAGAGATGGAGAAATGAGAAAGGACCAGCAAAAAAGGAACCAGAAATGTAGGAGATACATCAGGAAGTGAGGTATCCTGGAATCCAAAAAAGAAAATATACTAAGAGAAAAATCAATTACGCTTTCTTTTTCTTTTTCTTTTTTTCTTTTTTTTGAGATGGAGTCTCCCTGTGTCGCCCAGGCTGGAGTGCAATGGTGCGATCTTGGCTCACTGCAACCTCCGCCTCCCAGGTTCAAGGAATTCTCCTGCCTCAGCCTCCTGTGTAGCTGAGATTACAGGCGCATGCCACCACGCCCAGCTAATTTTTGTATTTTTAGTGGAGACGGGGTTTCACCATGTTGGTCAGGCTAGTCTCGAACTCCTGACCTCGTGATCCACCCACCTCAGCCTCCCAAAGTGCTGGAATTACAGGTGTAAGCCACTGCACTCGGCCATCAATTATGCTTTCTACCAGTGTGCCCTGTACATATACCTGCTACTAGGAATCACATTTTAAAAAATTTCTTAGCACATTTTTCTCTTTTCCTTCATTCGGAAAAGGGGGTGGTAGTGGTATTATCATCTCTCCAGCTTTAAGACACCTTTAAGGCTGGCACGGTGGCTCATTCCTGTAATCATAGCACTTTGGGAGGCTTAGCCAAGAGGATCACTTGAGCCAAGGAGTTTGAAACAGAACTGGCCAACATATCAAGACTTGTCTCTGCAATTTTTTTTTTTAAATAGCCAATATGGTGGCATACATCTGTATTCTCAGCTACCTGGGGGGCTGAGGCAGGAGGATTGCTTGAGCCCAGGAGGTCAAGCCTGTAGTGAGCCATAATGATGCCACTGTACTTCAGCCTGGGTCACAGAGTGAGTGAGACACTGTACCAAAAAGCAAAACAAATAAAACAAAACCCACATCAACAACAATAAAACATTCAAAATTCAAGTAGGTTCAAATTAAAAAATCTGTAGCATTGTAAAGCATCAAGTTCTCTTCTACTCCTTCCCTCACTGCCTACTTAATGTCCTTCCTCCTCCTTTCCTTCCTTCCTTCCTTCCTTCCTTTATTCTATCAGTAAATTTAAGTAACAGTCTATGGAATTTGACTCATAGAATTTTATGTCTACTAATGGTTAATAACATTATTTATGTAGAAAGGTAAATCTTCTTATTATTTAAATCACATTAATTTTGGTATCCTTAAGGATTTTCAAAATTCAATTAATTATACTAATGTTTGCTATTTCCACTTCACACCTAGGTGCATATTTGTTTTTTGTTTATTGTAATTACCTCTGATAATTGGCAGTTAGTAATATAAATGCCTACAACCACCCTTGTACTTACATAGCAACATATGACGTAGTTTCATATTTGTATCAATTTGTAGTTCTCTAGTGTTTAATTATGGCTTCACAAATCAAAGTATTGCCCTTTTGTGGATAGTGGTTATGAAGACTGAAACTGCCTTTTATAAAACCTGCTTTTATGTTAATAAATTTTAATTGATTATTCAGGTTTGGTTGAAGGTGGAATGGTGTTCAATTAGATCACAGTATAAACCTTTCTGCTGTTGCACATTTAGTGACACCTTTAAAGGGTTGAAATGTAGTTAAATAATGAATCTTGTTGGTTAAATACTGTATTACTACAACATAGAGATTAATCATGAATAACACATTTTTTAAAGGAAACAATGTATTTCTTAGCAATTGATTTTTTAATTGACAGATAAAATTGTGTTTACTGTGTGCAACACGACGTTTTCAAATATATATACACTGTGCAATGACTACATTTTAATACTAGTTTAGGTTCATTATACCACACATTTCCAAAGCAATCCGTGGGAAATTGTATGCTTTAAATTAATAGAATCTCTTCTTTTCTTATTTATTCTAGCTAATATTGAAGTAGTTAAGAGCGGTTAAAAATGTTTATTTTCGGTATTAGGTAGAACTCCAGAACGGTACTGTTGAAATATCAATCTAGAAAAACAAGTTTTTAAAAATTAAGATTCACAATAAGTGAAATACCACAGAGAGTTGGTACTCACTCTAAGATATGACTTTTATCCTATTTTCCAATCTTTATAAACATAAATTATTTGTTTAATTGAAATCCTACACTCTCTATTTAAGATCTAATTTATAACTCCCCAAATCTAGAGTATCAGAAATGTTTTAAAAGTCAGCATTTAAGTAATAATTTGGTCTTTGGAACTATATTGATAAAATGCGTGCACAATCACATGAAATTAATTCTTATATAATCATAATTACATATACTGTACACATAAAAGATAATCTTTCATTCATCTTTTATCCCCTGACCTGAAGGCATTAAATGCTTTAAGTGTTAATTTTTAAATCTACAATTTCTGCTATATTTTATGAAATGTGTAATGATGACTCAGAAATCATAAGCCACCCACTGTATTACTAAATCGACACAAAGCACAGTGCAAAATGCCTTCCTTAGAATGAGGCTAATTGAAGGTTCAGCACTGTTCACAAATGTACAGAACCCCTAGGGGAATATCTAGCTATTTCTGGTGTTTGATGCTACACTCAGAGCTAATGTCCAGTCAGGAGGTCACTGCATAAACTTTCCTCCTATTGTGGTTATTGTTGATTAAACAAATTGAGAAAATTTTACTTAAGTCTTTGCAATATCCATTTTATAGCTTTCATTATTAAAGAATGTTAAAAATGATTTATATCAAGAGTTTTCCAAATTTGTTCTATGGAAACTTGGAGTTGTATAAAATTGTCTCATATGCTACCAAGGGGCCACACTGGGCTTGGGGTCGGGGATAGGGGTGGTGGTGGCAAATATTTAGAAGATCCCATCACACCTCATCCATAATTTGTCTGGAAAGGATTTGCTGCTATGTTTTACATATTGCTATTAAGCTTAAATTTTATTGTGAAAAAGTGCTGAATACACTGCTTATTGTTTTTATATTTTGAATATAGTACTATTTATTTTCTCCTTTAAGATAGATATACATTAATCCCCAAAGTATTATAAAAATTGACTTGTATGCATTTCTTAATTTTTATTTTATGTAGAGATCTTTATATATCTATGAAAAGAAAGTATTTTAAAATTTTAATTTATATGCGCTAGATTTTTATAAATATTCATCTCCTTTTTCAGGATGTTATTTAATGTAGTTCACCTTAGAACCATTGTAAAATAACAATTCTTTCTAATTATTTCCACTTATTCAGCAGATCACAACCAAACTTTGGTTGTAAGAAATAAATCATTGTTTTGTTTTCCATAAATTAAATGCATCTGTCAATTTTATATTCTACATGTTTGTGTGTTTGAAACAAAATATAGCTATTTCCATCTATTTCTGTACCTATTTCTTGACATGTGCATGAGAGATGTGAATAATTGAGACATGTTCTCTAACTTTGAAATCAAAACACAGTAGAAAGATACCAATGTTAAAATTTCTTAACAACTTTTATAACTTCAATTTTATATTACATCATCATAAAATTAATTTATTTCTACTTTGACAAAGCATAAATACAAAAGCTGTGCCCCTGTGGCAATAATAAAATTATTGGTATAAAATAATAATGGTATAGTATAAAATTTTGAAATCCAAAAGTGCTGTATTGCTGGGTGACTCACACCTGTAAGCCCAGCACCTTTGGAGGCCAAGGTGGGAGAATCACTTGAGCCCAGAAGTTTGAGACAAGCCTGGGCAACATGGCAAAACTACGAAACTGTACAAAAAATATAAAAATGACCTGAGTATGGTGGCACATATCTGTAGTTCCAGCTACTCGGGAGGCTGAGGTGGGAGAATAGCTTGAGCCCAGGTGGTTGAGGCTGCAGTGAGCTGTGATTGTGCCACTGCACTCCAATCTGGGCAACAGGGCAAGACCCTGTCTCAAAACAAAATAAAATAAAAATGCTAAGGAATCAAAAGTAACTTTCAATCTATATAATTGTCCTTAATTGTCTTGAATATGTACACCATATCATAAAACATCATATATTTGAAGTGTCATTTAAGGAGAATTTATGCAGTGCTTCGTTGTTAAGACTGGTGAAATGGCAGACTCTGGTCATACCAAATATGCAGGTGGAAGTGGTTTTTCATTTCCTGGGTAAAGAATATAACCTGAGGCATAGATATGCATTCTAAGAGTTAAGTTTTAAATTAGACTTAAGTCTTCCACTTCCAAACTTATATTTAAGATTCTTGCAATCTTTTACTCATTTACTTTTGATAATTTGCAAGAATTTATTTTAAGCACAAGAAATCTTAATATAATCATAATCTGTAAGAAAATGAATTGCTCCTATGTTTTGCACTAGAGTAACGACTTTGATTTTGATGTGGTATTGATCAATAACTCTATTCTACAGGAAAATGGAAACATCATTCCCTAGAAACAGTTGAAGTTGACAGACCTAGAGGTTGACAAAAGGACACGACACTAGGGTGAGTAAAGTGGTATCCTCCTTTATAATTTTTTCCTTCTCCTTTGAAGAATAACAATACATTACATCTATATTTCACAGTAAGTTCAAGAACTGTGTATGGAATTAAATTTCCAGGCATTGCTCAATGTCTTTAAGCAGATATATGTTATGTTGGATTCACATAAGCTAGACGGAGAGAAAATAGTTAATCAAGTAGTAAATAAATGTCTTTCCCTAGAGAAGTGAAATACCTGTTGTTTCTCTTTTAGTACATTTAAAACAAGCAAACCTTCTACCCAGTTTAGATTTATTATTCTTCATTGATTGTTTCATTCTCTTGGAGAGAACATTCTGGCAGTAAAGTAGTAGACACATTGCATCCATCATTGTGTGTCAAAGGGCCATCAGGTCGATGGCTCTTTTTGAACTTTGTTGTTTCAGAAAACCATAGCTGAGTATTATAGGCAGAAGTTTGACATTTTCAGGATGAAAATCAATTTTCTTTTATGTGTTTCTGAAGTGAGGCTTGTGCTTCAATTACAGAAGAAATAGCTTTTATAACATTGGAGCAACAAAATAGAAATTAAAATAAAATTTGGGTAACAATAGCTTCAGTGAAAGTTAGGAGAATTGTATTTTAGTGGTATTATAATGTTTTAAATCCATTGAAATAGAATCCGAAATAGAAATTTATGGAAAAAGGTACAGAAATAGAATAATGTCTATGAAATCAAGGTAGTAATGAATAAAATTTATAAATAAAAACTCAGAACTGGAACATGTTTAAGGAAATCAAATATTATTAAAGAAGAAATATATAACTGTAATTTGCAATTTATGATACACATATATGTTATGTGTATATAAACACATGACTGCTTATCATACTTGCTTAATTTATCTCTTGCTCCTGGCTCCAGAAAAAATGAAAAAACTCTCTTTCATCCACGAGTATATGAATAGCATTTATCATAAAGCTGTGGCAAAGTAGGCATTTACTACTATTTGCTACTGAATATGTTAAAATACTAAAAATAAAAATAATTTTACCATTTTATACTTTTTAATGTATAAAATGCTGTTTTGCAGGGGGATTTGTGGAGTTTTTATAAAAATAAAGATTTGAAATAACATTCTCTTTTAGTAATAATAAATTATATTTTAAATAATATGCTCAAGTTTTAAAAGTGCTATAGGTCCTTCTCTGCGTACCTAAGACATTTCTGTGTCAGTACACTTAAACAGATTTGAGGCTGAGCCTTAGGCTTTATATTTTTCAACCATAATTTTATTCCTCATATATGCATATTTAATTTCCTATGTAACAATATATTTCAGATATAATTTTTTCATGCAAAAAAATCACATGAAATTGTTTTAAAGTTATAATTTCATCGTTTGTTGAGTATACAAAATCATGAAACGAATACTTGAAAAGACAAAATTTTCATGTCCCCAAGATTCTTGCTATTTAGAGTTCAGGTGAGTTTATGATAAACTTTCTTTCAGGACATTCAAATAAAAATGTAGCACAAACAGCTTATTATTTAATAATTATTAATACCATATAGGTTCATATGTTTTCATATGCACAAATGGATAGATGACGGATAGATAAATAGATAATTATAGACCAGTATCAAAATTTCCAATACAAACACTCTAATATGTAACAGTTCTCAATTCTCTACCCTTCTGTGTAAGAAATTCCTTGAAGGATTAGGGTAAGTACTCTACACGTACACCTTTTCAATCCGCTTGCGTAGTAAGAGTGTGTACAAATGATGACTAATAATGATGAGGCCATTTTGATTCAGTTTCATCAGAGGTGTAAAATGGTAGTCATGAAAAACATAAGACATCTTTAGTTTTTCCTTTTTGAGATTTTGTGATTTCTATTTTTGTCCTGACATTAGTACAAAGAAAATCTGTTTCTCTCCTTGGACAATTAAAATACTGTTGTTATGTAATAAATCAACAAGAGCATGAATTATGAAAATTATGAACAACTTTGGTAATTTTGCAGAAATATCCTCAATACTTATTTCAATTACTTAACCTAAGATGTTACTTTTTTACTCCAATTGTATTACTTAATTATTTTTCTTACAGCATTTTGTATATCTTATATATCTTTAAAATTCTTATTATAATTATATTAAATAAATATATTTAACAGATAAATTATTCAAAACAACATTTTACATTGATAGGTATTATTAATGATGTTCTCAGTTGTCTTAACAGGTCAAGGAAACAAAACATTGACCAAAAAGAATATTTAAAAAAAAAAATACATTTTATGTTGAATAGGTGAAACCCAGTTATACCACTGACTGAGAAAATACGAGATAAAGTTCCTTTAGTATCTGTACTCAAGTACTCCAACTTTATTTGTCAGATATTTTTTCTCATGTAAAGGCTTAAGTTGTGTAATACGAAACAGAGACTGAGACTCAAACTTGGGTCTGACTCCGCAGCCATAGTAGGCTCTACTGCATCGTGTGGCCTCACCGTTGACAACAGGAAGGCCTCTGGTCTGGGGTTATGTAACCGGAAAGGGGTCCCAATCCAGACCCCAAGAGAAGGTTCTTGACCCTTGTACAAGAATTGATTTATTAAGAAAGTAAAGGAATAAAGAATTGCTACTCCATAGGCAGAGCAGTGGCATGAGCTGCTTAACTGAGTATACTTAACAGTTATTTCTTGATCATGCGCTAAACAAGGGGTAGATTACTCATGAGTGTTCCAGGAAAGGGGCGGGCAATTCCTGGAACTGAGGGTTCCTCCCTGCCGTTTTAGACCATATAGGGCAACTTCCAAATGTTGCCATGGCATTTGTAAGCTGTCATGGCTCTGGTGGGAGTGTCTTTTAGCATGCTAATGCATTATAATTAGTGAATAATGACTACTGAGGATGACCAGAGGTGACTTTCTTCACCATCTTGGTTTGGGCAGATTTTGTTTGGCAGCTTCTTTACCGTAATCTGTTTTAACAGCTGGGTTTTTGTGACCTGTAGTTTGAGCTAACATCCTTTCTCATCCTGTGACTGAGAAGGTCTAATCTCCTGGGTATGCAGCCCAATAGGTCTTAGCCTTATTTTTCCCAGCCCCTCTTCATAACGGAGTCTCTTTGGTTCGAATGCCTCTGATAAAATCAATAAGTTTTCATGATGTATAAATCTGAGGCTGTGGGTCTTTATATATTGAATATAACTTTGTGAGATAGTTCTAAGTAGTCTCTTTGGAGTATACATGCATCAGCATAGTTATAATTCCTTGTGGACCTATCTAACCACCCAATGGGTTCATCTTGCCCAGATATAGCTGATTTATCAAGATAGGGGAGTTACAATAGAGAGAGTTTAATACATGTAGAGCTGGCTAAACGAGAGACTAAAGTTTTATTACTACTCAGATCAGCCTCCCACAAAATGTGGAGGCTAGGGCTTTTCAAGGACAGTTTGGCAGGCAGAGGGCTAGGAAAATTGCTGATTGGTTGATAAGGTGTGGAAAATGGTCCTTCTGGACTGAGTGTGCTTCTGAGTTGGAGCCACAGAATAGTCCCTGGCCTGGGTGGAGTCATCAGGTTGTCAGAAATGCAAAAGTCTGTAGAACCACCTTAAAAAGCAAATCTTAGGTTCTGAAATAGTGATGTTAATTACAAAAATAATTAGAGAAGTTGCAGCTCTTGTAACCTCTAGAACAATGACTGGTAATTGTTTAAGCCTAAGTTGTGTAATACTAAGCAGAGGGACTGAGACTCAAACCTGGGTCTGACTTCACAGCCATAGTAGGTTCTACTGCATCATGCTGCCTCTCCATTGACAATAGGAAGACATCTGGTCTGAGGTTATATTACCAGAAAGAGGTCGCAATCCAGACCCCAAGACAGGAGTCTTAGCAATATTCAGGCGCTTCTCAGCCTCCTAACCTGGTGGACTTTCATTAGTTTTACAAAGGCAGTTTAGTTTCTGGGAAGGACTATTATCATGTAAACTATAAACTAAATGTCTCCCAAAGTTAGCTTGGCCCATGCCCAGGAATGACTAAGGGCAATTTAGAGGTTAAAGGCAAGATGGAGTTGGTTAGGTCAGATCTCTTTCACTGTCATAATTTTCTCCCTGTTACCATTTTTGCAAAGGCAGTTTCCCTACTGTTCGGTTAAATGAATTTGATCACTAAATAATTTGTGCACAATTCTAAAACTTCTGGAAAAAAATACATTTTGTTTTAGTACCTTTTTACATCAACACTATGTTTATTCAAGTTAAAGAAACATAGTTATTTTAGAAGGGATATAAATGAGACCAACCATAGTTTCTAAGGGAAAACACTGAGGTTAAAGAAAGTAATTTAAGAACTATAAGCAAATACGGGAAGTTCTACATCTAACGGAACTTATAACTGTGTGATCTATCCACATTAATGTATCTAAAGTCTGGTATTCCTGACTCCATTTAAATTAGATTAAATAATTTAAGTCCAGCATCATAGATTCTCCCTCAAGTACATTTGCTGCTGTTTTGATGTTAATTATCCACATCACTCAGATAATTACCACCTAACTTGTTTATAGCACAAGGTATGCTGTAACTTTTTATCTGAAGGGAGCTTAAGTATTTCTTTTATCATGGGCCACAACAGTTTTCTATGTGGCTTAATTGTGTCCTAGAAAATTACTAGAATAATAAGCGCATTCACAGGGTTGAATATTAACAGATGAGGCAATTACTTGAAGAGAAACCTGCAAATCATTTTAACAATTGTTTTTTCTTGCACTTTGTTAAAGCAGCATTTGCCAAATGCGATCCTCAGATCACTTGTCCTGAGAAGATAAGGTCCGTTAAAAATTTTTCTGTGGTGGAAATAATTTTGACAGCTCAGGAAAATGATATGAAAATTTGTAATAGTAATGAAAGGGTTAGAGAAGTTCTGCCATCAAGAAAAATGCTAAAAATTTGTTTTTCTAACATTGTTTTATAACCTTCCTAATAACAGTTTGCAAAGTTTTTCTATAAAGGGCAAGAGGGTAAATAGTTTGGGCTTTGCAGGCTGTATGGGTCTCTCTGGCATCTACTCAACTCTTCCTTTATAGTGCAAAAGCAGATTTAGATATTATAGAAACAAATATGTGGCTGGGTTCCAATAAAACTTTATCAAATCAGCCCACTGGGCTGGATTTGGCCTGTGTGCTGGAATTTTCCAACCCCCGCCAATATTATGCAGAGGTAGTTTTAAAAAATGTCTGATTTGGAAATCTCTGTTTTAGATTTTGTACTTAAATCTCAAACTCTCTAAAATTGTATCCATAAGATAGCCCTTCCTCTTTGCTTATTCTCATTCTTGAGAAATTTGTAGCAGTAGAGGAGGGCATGAAGAAGGGAATAACTTTTTGCAGAGAATAAACTCTTTCAGCCTTGGTACCCATAGCTATCCCACCCCTATCACCTTTGTGGTATATACTGTATGACTATGGAAAGTGAATCACATACTCTTCCTGCCCTCAGGGAACGAGCTCTATGGTCTACTGGGAGTGAGGGTGATAATTTTGCAAATGACAAGGAATGTGTCTACTGCACGTAATAATATGAGAAAATGTGTGATATTAATGCCACATGAGCAGTAACAATTTCCCCAGGGAGATTAAAAGGAAGAACATAATTTTGGTTACAAGTACCAGGCAAGGCTTTAAATGACAGATAATGCAGGCAAGGCTTTAAATAAGAGATATTGCTGTAGATAAGCTTGTAAAGAGTATTCCTAGACGTCAACAGGCAGTGCTACAGAGGAGAAAATTATGAGAAAGTATTGCTGCTAGATGGAAGAGCATAAATAAGGAAAAGGAGGTGGCGATGGTAGCAAATAGTCACTTAGCAGGAGCATATAGCGTTAGTCTGAAAAGTCAGTCTGCATCAACAAGATGCTTATAAGGTGCCATATACTTGATGCAACAGAAATGCAAAGGTGCTGAAGAACGTTAGCATGATAGGGACTCCTTTCATTCTTTGATTGAGAGGGGCCCATTTGCCCTTAGGTAAGAATGGTGCATATTTAAAATGCCTGATGATGCTGTTAATATTGTCTGTCCTAAGCAGTGACATAGCACATGTGTTAAGTAGTTTCGAGAGTTTTGGGGACCAAAAAAAGCATTATTTGGATATTTCAGATGTGAATGAATATAAACAGTAAAACCTACAACACCTCCCTTCCCTCTGCCTCCACCTCCCACCAAGACAAATCCAGAGGATGGCAGTTGCTAGTATGTTTTCAGTAGTGCAAACATGTCAGGGCTGCCTCCCGGATTGCTTTCAACTTTCCTTTAGGTGGAGAGATTACTGCTGACTCTCTAGTCATTGTGCTCAAATTTAAAGCAAGAAAAAAGTAAAATCTGTACGAAAGCTTTCCTCTTTACTGTGAGAAAGCCAAACTTTCTCAGAAGCACAAATTTTTACATTGATATTTTATGACCCAGAACTGGATCACAGGGCCGCTTCTCACTGGTAGCGAAACAGAGACAACAATTATTTGGCTTTATTCTCTTTCATGGGGGAATTGAAAGGGTAGAAGAAGATTTGGAGTAGCTTTAAAGATGCCTAAAGGTGTCCAAATAAATGTTTAAGTGTTTTATGAGAAAGTTCAGAAGCACATAAGATGGTTTTAGGCAAACTACTTCATATATTTATTTTTCACCTTAATAAATATAACCTGATAATTTTATTGAGAGAGGAAAAAAAAACCGTCGTTTGCAAAAGGATAAACAAAGATGTAATATATATGTTTTATATATATTATATCTTTATATATATCTCTTAATATGTACTTACACATATATCTTTATATATCTCTTTAAAATATATACATAATATACAATATCTATATATAATATAGATATATCTTAAGAAATATATCTCTTTATAAAGATATATAATTATATCTCTTTATCTCTTTATATATATCTCTTTAAGATATATATATATTTATTTACACATTTACAAAAGACAGTTTTTCTTTTCTCTCTCAATAAATTTACCAGGTTATATTTATTTTGTCACGTCCTAGTCTAACAAATCTAGTTGTGTGTGTGTATATGTGTGTGTGTGTATGTGTGTGTGTACATAACATAGAGAGAGAGATCTTTGTATAGTGTATGTATAGGTAGATATAGATATATATCTTTATAATATATATAATGTGTATGTGTGTATATATATATATATATATAGATAGATAGATAGATAGATAGATAGATATGGTAATCTTACCTCCTAAAGGAAATTTGAAGAGATATATATATAACTATATATAGATAGATACAACTGGATTTATCAGTCTAGGATGTGACAAAATATTCCATTTGAAACCATATTAGCAGCTTTTTAGATTTAATTTTTTTTATGAGTGGTGCATTATAATATGAAGGAGTTGTAAAACTTTTAAGGACTTTGCAGTCAGAAGATCTGAAATATAATCCCAAGACCACCATTCACTAGCTATTTGTCTGTACTAAAGTCATTTAGCCACTGAGGACATCAGCCTCCCTTTCATCATTTTTAAAATGAGGATAATAATAACTGCCCTTCACACTGCGTAGGTTTGTTGCAAGGCCCAAATTAGGTGATATTTTAAAAATTGCTTCATCAAACAGCAAAACACTTTAGCACTTCTCTGTCTATATCTTGAGCTCTTGTTTTTTCTCTCTCTCTCTCTTCTCCCTCCCTCTCTCCCTTTCTTTCTGACACACACACCCCACACACATTTCCACATAAAGCTCCCTGCTCAATCCCTTGAGATTACAAATGCCATCACAGAAATATATCAAGTGCCTCTGACAGCTTCTGGCTTCTGTTACTCAGTTTGTTTTTTTCTTTTTTCTTTTTCTTTCTTTCTTTTTTTTTTTTACTTAGAACAAATTGAATCATGCTACTAGGTACCACTTCTTTAATGATTTCATGTATTTGTCACTTTAAAAGCTTTTATTTTTGACCCCAGACCCTCTGAAAGCCTGTCAGTTATAATCAGCTGTTATTCAGTTTGTCTGAACATTGAGGTTCATACCACAACTAGAGAAACTGGTGGTGGAGGCACTTCTGTCTTGGAATATAATCAATGGCTGAAATAACTTTTGGGTCATTAAGAATGAAGATTTCCCCTCACAAGGTAACAGAGGATTTGGAAATGTTTAAAATGTGGAATGTCAGTAATATTATTCCCCATCACCCCCACCTACCACTTTACTTCTGTCTCACATCTGTTTACATCTAACACATTAGTAGAATCCCAAAGCATTAGTATCCATATACCAGATCAGAAATCCAAACCCAGCACTCATTACCACTAGCTGCATATAACATTTTCATAATTATTAAGTTGCCATTCTAGAAGAGAAGAAATATAATTTGTATACATACAAATGTGTGTGCGTGTGTGTGTGAGTATAAAACATGAATTTCTTCACTTCTAGAGTGGCAACTTAATAATTATAAAAGATATGTGTATATATATATATATATATACACACACATACACACATATTTGTGTGATTTTGAATCTAAATTGTTTTGGAACTATAGAGCATAATAAATTTACCAATAGTTTGCACAATATTTATGTATTTATGTTAATTTATTTATTTTTTAAATTATCCTTTAAGTTCTAGGGTACATGTGCACAACATGCATGTTTGTTACATATGTATACATGTGGCATGTTGGTGTGCTGCACCCATTTACTCGTCATTTACATTAGGTATATCTCCTAATGCTATCCCTCCCCCCTTCCCCCACCCCACAGCAGGCCCCAGTGTGTGATGTACCCCTTCCTGTGTCCAAGTGTTCTCATTGTTCAATTCCCACCTATGAGTGAGAACATGTGATGTTTGGTTTTCTGTCCTTGTGATAGTTTGCTAGGAATGATGGTTTCCAGCTTCATCCATGTCCCTACAAAGGACATGAACTCATCATTTTTTATGGCTACATAGTATTCCATGGTGTATATGTGCCACATTTTCTTAATCCAGTCTATCATTGTTGGACATTTGGGTTGGTTCCAAGTCTTTGCTATTGTGAATAGTGCCGCAATAAACATACGTGTGCATGTGTCTTTATAGCAGCATGATTTATAATCCTTTGGGTATATACCCAGTAATGGGATGGCTGGGTCAAATGGTATTTCTAGTTCTAGATCCCTGAGGAATCGCCACACTGTCTTCCACAATGGTTGAACTAGTTTACAGTCCCACCAACAGTGTAAAAGTGTTCCTATTTCTCCACATCCTCTCCAGCACCTGTTGTTTCCTGACTTTTTAATGATCACCATTCTAACTGGTGTGAGATGGTATCTCATTGTGGTTTTAATTTGCATTTCTCTGATGGCCAGTGATGATGAGCATTTTTTCATGTGTCTGTTGGATGCATAAATGTCTTCTTAATATGTTTTTAATGATTTTATATAGATAGATAGATAGATATAGATAGAATGACTGCCTTCACATATGTGTTAAGATACTTTATTATGAAAGTAATAAAAACATAACTAAAATTGTCACACAGAATACAGCATATTCATTGGCTTATGAATCTGAAGGTCTAGAATTCCTTTCAGCCTTCAGGCAAGGGCTGACCCAAGAGTTTAGCGATATTACTGTCTGTCAGCTTTTACTTCATTGGTCATGACTTCATTTTAAGACAGTCTTCCCTCATAATCTCAGCCTATCCTATTCCACTTTCAAATTTATATGCATAACACTTTCAACAGTCACCAACCTCTCTCTGTTTAGCCCACCATTGTAACATATCCATTTCTGAACCAATAGATGATTGTGTGTAGGGCTTATTGACTTAGCTTAGGTTACAAACTCCCCCTCTGGAATAAGGTCATTATCATCTTACCCATAATCACAGTGATCTCTAGAGATTGCAACTACTGAAATCAGAAAGATGCAGAGTGGGAATAAGTAAAACCTATTCTACTTCTCTAATAAGAGAGTCAATTTTACATGTGCACGTAGGTATATTTATTGCCTGGATTCTAACTCCTGATAGAAAGCATAAAGACAGATTCTCCCATGAGTGAATAAAATAAATTTGTCCTCATGAACTATTAGGTTAAAACACATAAAACTGCCACATGGAGGTGCCAATTGGTCAAAAATCAGCAACTACTTACCATTCAACCTAGAAGAAGGCCGCCTTAGGGAAAACTGGCCACAGTTGCTTTACCTATACCAAAGACCACAACCATCAGTACATGTAATATCCTCCATTGTTTCCCTAGCCTATTTAATATATCTGTGTGGCAATGATCTCATTAGTTTTCCTAAAATCGTATGTTTTCTTAATTTTTCCAAAAGTTTTAACAAGATAGAAACCTCCTAAAGCTAAATATTCCTTGAATGCTTCATTGGTATATTTTAGCCTCAAGCTTCACATGAAGGATCATTATCCATACATACATTTTGCAGATATAAATTATTTGTGCAATGGATTGGAGTGTAGGTCCTTTGTATGTATGAAATAGACCCCTTTATTTCTGGGAAATCATTGTTCTCTTCGTGGGTTTCCTGTGATCACGTGTTGTTGCCATCCATTTGCAGGTCTTCTTTCAGCTCCTCTAGGATGATTCAGCTGCAGCTCTGGCTTTGTTGACTGCTGAATCATGTAAATGGAGGCTTAGTGAAAAATATCTCTATTGAAGTACCTTGTCAGAAATCGCTAATAGCTGATCTTTACAGCAAAATATATATCAAAAGCTGGTTTTACAAAACATTATGTAAGGATCATTGCTTCTTTATTTTGTATAGACATACTATGTGCACTGAATTGTCAGTTTACTCATCAGGGACTTGATGAGTACTTCTGGCATCCTTGGGATAGTTTCATGTAGACAAACTCTTTAAGGAAACAGCCCCAATAATTATGTTTCTGTTTATATCAAAGGATGGTTGTTAAAAATATTTATTACAAACACAACTTTTAAAGACCTTGTCAAGAAATACTTATCTTTGCCCCTAAATGAGGCCTGAAGCCTGAAGTACTTCCTTTTTCTGATCTATGATATTTTTATTAATTATTTATAATTTATTATTATTGCTTTTTTTTTTTTTTTGCATTGGTTGCCAGAAAGCTCACAGCCAAATCTGTGAACACTGTCTTAGAAATGTGTGCAAGAACCTGGAACTTTAGTGTTCATTAAATTTCACCCATTCTTCTCTTCAGTTTTCTAAATTTTTATCAAAATAACACTTCATAATAACTAAGACGAGATTAAACAGAGAACATATAAATAATAAAATTATATCTGAAACAACAATAAGAAAGTAAACAGAGAGAAAAACCTGTAATTACAATCCACTGAAGTAACTGCACCGAAGTAACTGCTGCTAACATTTAGACATATATTCTGTAATGTCTCACTTACTTATCATTTTATCATTCATCATGTTGGACCATTTCATTGTTTGCCTCCTAAAATCCTTATTGCAATAATGTGGTATCTATACTATTATACCTAACTACATCTATAGGTTGACATTCCATCTCTTCTCTCTGTACTGCCAGAAGCAGTCTTGTCCCCTTGTGATGGTTGCAAGAACTAAAAATAGTTGCTTTATAGCAGGAGGCTGTTAATGTCACAACAAGTTCAATTAAACTCTTAAGTATGTCAGGGGTGTGAATTACTTCATCTTGCAATCTGAGAACCACACCTTGAATGAAACTAACTGGTAGAGGAGGTAAAGCAACTATCACTGATACACTAACTTATTTACATTGATGTAAAGAGAATTGATTAGAGGGAGAAAGCAGACAGTAGTGATATCCTAGCAGTTCTTAAATGTGCATACTTGATTTATATATTTATATGGGATGAAAATTCTATTTGCCCTTTTATGATTCCACCCAATTATCCACTATGCATATTCCTCAGAGTGGTCTATAGCACTATATGAGGGAATCCCTGAATGCTGCCTGGTTGTTAACATGGCATGAAGCATAGTATTATTGATCCTCTTTGTAGCTGCTGCACCCTTCACTAACTGATAACTTTAAAGCTAGTTGCTTTACTGTTAACCAAGTACTAAGCATAGTAAGCTTCGGTAAGCCAAATTTTACAGGTAATTAAGTCTATTTTTGTAGTGTGAGCCTATTTATATTTGTTGTTTCTGATTATCTATAGAGTACCAGTAGTCTCCTTTGTATATTTTATTCTTGATTTGCCCCAGGGTTCTCCATTCATATACATGAATACACGTTATCCCTAATACAAATGAACGGACTTTTACAAATTCATTTTTTAAAGTTTATTTGTTTTGACTAATATTATACTTGTTTTCATTATAGTATGAAATATATAAGATGCTAACACTGTAAAAGATGAATTCATATTTTCTTTTTACATACTTAAGTAGTGTAAAAATTGATTTCACTTTAACAATTTATCTCCTAGTGGTCTCTAAAATTATCTGAATATATGTACAAATAATGTACTTCAATGTTCTGCCAGAAATTAGGCTGTATAATAGGAAAATTGTATAGGAGCGACCCATTTAATGAACGTGTACATGGTAATTTCTCACTCTGAGTATGCAAATTTAGATATAGATTTAGTGATTTTCAGAACTGAAGTATTTTTAATGAGAAAGCCAATTTGTAAATGTTTAAATGTGTTTCCATCCTTATAAGGATTTGACAACTCTGGCTCACAATGCTTTGCTGACTTGTTTAAGTAGAACTTGTCTTTTCTTCAGTATACTGTGTATTGCCTAAGGCAACATTTAGGCTCTAAAGTGGCAAGGTCAGAGCTCAAACCTAGACATTCATGTTCTTGAACCTCAAGCACCAGTGCTGGTGATACCCATGTTCTTTTCACTACATGAAACTGGTTTTGTGGAAGACAAATGAAAAAGGAGCAGTATTTGATGCCCTTAAACCTATGAAGGTAGTGAACAAGTAAAGGGGAGTTTAGCACAAGGCCGCCAGTGGCTATTAGTACTGAGGTGCCTTTGACAGACCCTCCACTGAGGGTCTTGGCTTTAACAATTAAGAGCTGTATGACTTCTAGCTTCTGCTATACTCTCTATTTTATCTGCCATCATTTTCTCTTTTTATTGTTATAAATTATACGCCCACTACAAAGGTGAAAAATTGCATTCTGCTTCACCCAGTAATGATTACAAAATTTCAGCCATTATGGCAGAACCACTTGGGAGAGGCAGCCTGTCCTCCAGGCTGATGCAGCCCGTGTCAAGGTGAGCAACTTGGTGAAGGGAAGAGCAGGCTGGATTTCACCTCCCACTCAGGTGATCTTGGGGGCCACTGTGGGCAGGACACAACCTGGGCAGCTCAAGAATGGCTTTTTGTTTAGGTCTTCAATCCTACTCCATTTATCCAGGCTAGTTTTGTTTTCACTGATAAAGACATTTCACTTATGGAAGTCATAGGTGTGGGTAACTAGATAAAGTAGATCAGTTAAATGATACGTCTTGAAAATAATGACACCTTTCAAAGTAAAGTATTAACATAATGATAATTTGTTATCTTGGATTTAACCATATTTTGTATCTTTAAAAAATTACTTGTATATTATTTATTAGTTATGGCTTTCTAAACACAAAGTTACCTATACCTACATTAAAAAAAAAATTCATGGTGGTGAGAGGGAGTTATATCTTTAACCTTAACCAAGTTATGTAATTTACATAATTATTGTGTGTGTGTATGTGTCCATACACATAATCACAACAGTGCTATGCTTTTTTATTTTATGATATAGTCATTGAATTTAAGTTAAAATATTACAATTATTTTTCTATTCAATTGCTAACTGCAGTCTTAGGGCAAATGTAAATTTCTTTTTAAATATCAAATTAAGATATCTAACTCTTCCTATTTTCTTGAACCTGTCTTCTCTATCACAGTTCAAGTTCTCATCATCTCTCATTAGAATCATGTCCAATAATCCCCTGAAGATCCTTCTAGCTTTCAGATCATCCTACACATAAGACCTGTGTCATCTAGCAGGAAAGATTGACTTATGTCTTAATCTTATTCATTTTAAACCTTGGCTCTAACATTTATCTGCTCTATGACCTCAAGCTTCTGCTATATTCTCCAATTTATCTGCCACCATTTTCTCTTTTCATTTTTAAAAATTATATACCCATTAAAATGAATTGAGTAATTATAGGTCTATAGTCACTTATTCAAATTTTCAAAACTAGAAAAAATCCTAAGCACAGATTTTTTTTTGGTAATTTGCCACATGGCAAAACCTATACGGACCTATTATGTGACTCATTTTGACTGTATTTATCCACATGAGGTAAATATTCATGTTTCACTGTAGAAATATTATGTTTGATTATGAGATGTAGCTTCAGACTACATCTGAATGAGATGTTATATTCAGTTTATGAAATATATTACTTTTTAAAAACATCTGAATTTTGGCACCCATCTGTAATCAAGAATTTCAGAAAAGCGATCTATATTTATAATTGTAAGAAAACCTAATATGACCAAGACTCTGTGTGCTTGTCTTACTGGAATGACTCTTTTACCATCCCATCCACATCTACCCTCATCTCTTTCATCCACATAACAAAGTCTCCTATAGCACTCACAGTTCAACTCAGTCATTACTTCTTCCCTGATTTACCTCTCATCCTTGTTAATAAAAAAACACATCCTTTCTATATCCTGTCTTTATCCTTATCACCTGGTATTCTTCTCATCTATTTACATGTGTCATTTCTACTAAATCCTAAAATCTTTGAGAATTGGAATCATGGCTTTTCATTCTTTATATCATCAGTTCTTAACATTATCTTAATATTAAACAGAAACATAATAAAAGTCAGTTATATTTTATTTAAAAATACAACATTCTGGAAATGTTAGTCTGCAAAAATCTGTTTGATCTTACCACATGGTCATGTGATAGAGTAGGCTCTGTGATTCACTATTAAATTTTTACCTTTGGTTATTCCAGAATAAATTTAAGACAGTGAAGTATCATCTTATTGAAGGTCTGAAGGTATTTTGCCTGTCTGTTAAATTGCTACATAAACCACAAAACTGGAAAAGAGTTAACTAATGAATATCTACATTCTTGTGTATTTTTAGATCACTAGTATTTATTAGTCAAGTAATTATCTGGCTAGTGAGAGCCTCAATTTTTAAAACTTTCATATATAAAGTCACTTAATAGAATACTTAGCTCTTATTTCTCCAATTCCTTATCATTTTAATTTTGAGGATGCATATGTGCTCAAAGTTTTTGAAGAAAAAATTAGTCAATTCCACTTTTCTGTCACTTGAAAAACATTATACAATTACCAAGTACTTAAATGTAAATTTTCAATAGACTCAAAATACATCTTTTCTGGATTAGAGAAATGACAGAAATTACTCTCTGCCAGATAAGACAATTAAGAGGGGAACATATCTGGCAAATTTGTCTCCTCTTTTTAATTTTTGCTCTTAAAGAATATGCCGTGGGATCTACGAAAGGCACAATGGAATCTGTATCATTGTTGAATAGGCAAATACTTGGCTTTACTCAAAAGTACTATCCTACTATTAACTGTGATATTCAATTTATCTACTTCAGAAGGATGAAGAGATAAATTGGCTGCAAATGTGAAATTGGAATTCCACAGTGTCTCAGTTACTATTCAGCCATGCGTTGCATTTAATTTTCTTATTTTAGTATTAAACAGCTTCAAAATGTAACTGAGAGCTCTTGGCTTTCCATTCCTGCTGTGTAAAGCATTAACAATATTACACTCACTGCTTGTATTTTCTTTCTGAGCAACTACTAGTAAAACTTGAATTCCAATGATGATTAACATTTTTTAAGATATTTTAATTGTAATTTATATATCTCTACCGTCAAGGAGTACTGCATTTAAGAGAAATATCATGACATTGTCATTATTACGCATTATACTGGCTTCTCAATGTTATATGGTTACATAAGTTGCTGGTAAACAGACCATAATTTTTACCCTCCAGTTGTGAAATCATATCAAATTTATAGTTTTAGTATGTGCAAATAATTGAATCATTCACCTGTGGAATATATTTTTGTATAAATAGACTGTAACTATAAAATACACAATATTTGGCGGGGGAGAACCCCTATTTCTCTATTTTGGACTTTAAATAACCAAGTTTTCAATTACTCTTTATTTTGACTTTGCTGGTGCCAAAAAGCAAACAACATAAAAATTGGAAGGCTGATAGTATCACAGAGCTTTCAGAAATTCTGTTTTTGCAGGCCATTTATCTTGTGTATATCTTTTCAGTAACTGACATTGTTTTCTCATTAAAACATGTTTTGTTTTTCCTGAACCCCCTTGGATTGGCAGCTGTCAAATTGAATTGGCAGATTTTCAGGTTGGCCGATTGGCTGTTGCCTCTCCAGAGTATCCATTCAGTGCATTTTCTCTCCTCTTCTCTTGTCTTCTCTCCTCTTCTCTTCTCTCCTCTCGTCTTCTATCTTTTCCTCCCCTCCCCTCCCCCTCCTCTCCTCTTCACTTCTCTCTCTCTCTTCTCTTCTTTATCTCTCTCTCTCTGCTCACTCTCGCTGTCTCTGTCTCCCTCCCCCACCAAGTTGGACTAGCTTTTCCAGCATGTGTTTGGGTGAGAATGCTCCCAATTTTCAGGTGAAGGCCCTCAGTGTTTAATAATTGTAATCCAATATGTACATACCATTCTCTTGACCATAATTTAAGATTGAGAACATTAAGAACATGATGTATTTCCAGATGGTCACAGTCAATTGGTCAGAATTTCTGGGGCTTTTGAAACTAGAATAGAACCTAAAAGTAGCTCAAAAAAAGGTTGACGTCTTCTTGGAGGTTAACACCAAAGAAGCATATCTGAGAAAGGAAGAGAAAAAGATATCTCTCCCTGGTGAAAACCTGAAAACGACTCAAGAATTGGATATCAGATATTAAACTTCTATGGGAACCTTCAGTATATGAAGCCATAAATTTATTTGACTGTCCAAACTGGTTTTAATCATTTATTTCTGTCACTGTCAACATAGATTTCTAACTGTTATAGATGGAAATAAGTTTCCCCCCATGTAATAACAAGTCATCCTTTTTGTTAAATATGCATAAAACGATTTTACTTTACTGTTGTATTCTGCCTTCTAATTTTCAAATTGATACTATATGTGTAAGTATATATTTTTTAAAAGGTTATACGTTTTTGGTAATATTTATAATATTACCAACATTTTAAGGCTTTCATTGAATAAAGAAAATGTATGTTTTATGTAAAAATTATTAAATAAGTGCTAGAATATTTTTTAAGTATTTGAATATTTATTAACATTTATTTTTAATTAACTTAGAAGCATTTATTGAAAGACTGCTCCATTTCTAATACTTTGCAAATAATCATGTTTTCTGTCATTTAAGTTATTATAAACTAGATAGACATATTGAAATGTGTTTAAGCAATATTGCTTATTTTTTAACCACTACATTTTATGTTTGTATCTATCATTTCTAGTCTTTGAGATTTAATGTCAAAAGCTAGATATTCCCTGCATTTTCATCTAAGATAATAAAGATTACATTGATGTGAATATAGCAGGCAAGTTCCCCTAAGTTTTATTCCTCTTTAGTGTCTAAGATGTAATCAGTATTTGTCTTAAAATTCTGTCATTAACTTTATTGGAGTTTCAATTTCAAGAAATCTTGCTGAAAACCCATTATATATAATATATATTTATATAATATATATAATTTTGTTGAAATAGACTGCTGTATAAAATTCTCATGTTTTATATATAAGATTTGACTTTTGAAGGTTTGCTTAAGGGAAAAAGAGTGAAATCTTAACAGACATTATCAGTGCTTTGTCCTTCAAACAATTAAATGACATAGATTTTCCAATAAAATGTGGAAACACATTTTTCATAGTGAAACTTTATATGCTACCAAACTTAAGTGCTGTAACTTACATTTAATTGTAGATCTGAAAGGTTAAATTTTAATACTAATCTTAACCAGCCACGATGAAATCATGGGGTGGATCTTGCAAAGAAGGTCAACCATTCCCTGGGTTGTAAACTGAAATAGTCCCTATTAATTTAAATGAGTTAATATGATGATATAGTTCTCTTGAGTAATGGACGAATCCCATAGGTCCTAGTCCACAACGTCAGAAAAATGTTAAGAATTTGTCAATGAGCTTTAATCTCTACTTGATTTATGTACCTCACTTTTATGGTTACTTTGTGACTTACTATCTTCTGGGCCAGTTAATAAATGTTCTTACTACATTTTGAGGAAATCTCAATCTGTTCATAAATATTAATACCTCAACTCAAACGAAAATGTTTTGCCACTCTTTTCCTAACATGTAGTAAGAAATTTTGTTTGGGAGAATGTTGAAGTACAAGAAACAGGGGATATTAAGTAGCATTTTCAGTACTATGTGATAGTGGAAGTAGAAAGCCCATCATCGCCTGTAAGATACAGAATTTTTTTCTGTTAAAATATTTTCTTTAGCTTTAAGCATATTTACAGGACATGATTAAATGGAGCAAAAGACAATACAGGTAGAGTTGAGGAAGAAAGGGTATTTTCCCCCCTTTTGGGAAACTATATTTTAGAAAGCAGTAATTACTACTGAGTTACCAAGGGAGAAGCAAATGAAATATGAAAATCTAATCCTCAAAATTGAAGAGTATCTAGTGGAGGTGAGGGCTTAAACAGAAAGATAGACAGGAAGAGGAGAAAAAGGAGGAAGAGGAGAAGGAGGAGGAACATAAGAAGAAAGAGGAGATATACCTAATGCTAAATAACGAGTTAATTGGTGCAGCACACCAGCATGGCACATGTATACATATGTAACTAACCTGCACATTGTGCACATGTACCCTAAAACTTAAAGTATAATAATAATAAAATTTAAAAAAAAAAGGAAGAGGAAAGATAGGGAGAAAAGGAGACTTAGACAAAGGAGTCAAAGAGAGACATAAGGAGGAAAGAAAGAAAAGAAGGATATATGAACTTATTTGAACCTGTCTACCCTAAAGTCCAGAAACTGAACACTTTTACAGGACTTTGTATTTTCTAGATACGTGCAAAATATTTTCATTCCAAAAAAATTTTTTTTAAAAATTGAAATTAGGTGCTTTTAAAAATTATGGAAAATAAGATGTAACATTGTATATTTGATGAATTATATGTTATGTTACTATTATCTATTTTTCTGCATTATACAATGGTACACTACATATATGTGAAGAATTTTTTTCTAAAATAGCTATGAAAATACTTAATTTTACTTCTTTTCTTTTTTTTGTCAATTTTATAAGCCATGGGATTATTTATCCTCAACTCATAGCAAATCCAGAAAGTACAATTGACCACTGGTGATTTTAAAAGTCTAGACACACCAGTCATATAATATATTCTATTTATATTGTTAAATATATCTTCTTTCATTAATCATTATATTTTCATCTAAATTTAAAATTGTAATTTATTTTCTAATAACAACTGCTAATAAATAAATTGCTCAATTGGTAATTGTTCTTGTTTTAAAACAATTTAAAATAAATAAATTTTAAAGTAATAAAATAGATTCTTTTTAAAATAGATTATTTCTTTGTTTTGCATTCCAGGTCTTCCCCCCACCCCGCCACATATACACACAGAGTGACTTCAAATTCCTTTTAACATTCAGCTCATATAATTTTGTAATCATAAGTCAGTAAAAGTACATATGCACACTTGGTCTTTTGAGATAATTGCTTATTTGTAGTTTTTTAGTCAATAATAAATTGCTTAAAATATTTATACATCTCATAAACACAATGTAAATTTTGTCAAAATGTCTATTTTAATAATGGCCATGATACTTTCACTTAATATAAAACATATAGAAGTTATAGTAAACTTTTAACTGTATTATGTAATCTTTTGGTGCTTATAAAACTTGCAAGCTCTTTCATGTATAACTTAATACAACACTTGTTTTATTAATGTCTTGTTACAAATTATCACGTGTTACAGAACGCTATAGCAGAAACCTGAGTATAGGGGCTACATCAGGAAACTTTTTTTCTTTTCTAAGTAACAAGACAACTAAGCGTAGGCTGCCATTGAGAATCCAGATTCCATCTTCCTTTTGCCTCTACCATTGTTAATGTGTGGCTTTCTTCCTCAGACTCATAAGATGGTTTTATACTAGAGAGTATCACATATGAATCATGGATAAGAAGAAAGGAGAAAACAAAAGGGCAAAATCTTACTGCCAGCTGAGCTCATATCTTTCAGTCAAAAACAGTAGTTTTCACAGGGACCTCTTGCTTAGAACTCATTGCCCAATTATGAGTCATTTGGCGAAACAAGTTGCAAGTTAATCTAAGTTATAGGGCTGTTAACCACGAGGATTGCTGCCGTGAACAAAACCAAGATTATGTTAATAAGTACAAAAGGTATAGTGGTTAGTAGTGCTTGGCACAGCCAAAAAAGAAGCGGACTTTTCCGTAAAACCTACTCTATCAGCTGATTATACAGAAAAAAAGCTGAGTTCGAAAATTTCTTTGGTTTGCTAAGTGAAATTGGAAAGATATTCCTGTTTATGGTTGTATGGTTTGTAGCTACTCTATATTTCTACTTTACCTTTGGTCAGTATGTTTGTTTACATCTGTCTATTTTTCTGTCTGGTGATAGGGTGACTTACAGTCAAGAGTTTGTAAGAACAAGTACTTAACTGGATTATTTTTAAAAGCAGTGATTTCTTATGAATCTCGGGAATCTACCTCAGTGATAAATGTTATTCAGTAGGAAAATAATATTTTTTTGTTCTGATTTAGGAAATTGTTGATAACTTGCCTGAGATATCACTTTTCTGGAATCGTATTGTGCTGATGATTTACATTTAGGCAGAATGATATGACTAATGATATAAACACTGCCCAAGAAACAAAGGATGTCATCTACTTCCAAAACACACAACAGCTTGATTTTCTCTCAGCAAAGATATATATATTCCTCTATATTAATAAAGTAGAAAAAGTTTATAGCTCCTACAATTATGGGTCTACATAAGTTATATCACAATCAAAGAACATGCTTTGAGGGCTAATATGCAAGTTCAGAATGTTCACACTCTTCTCTAACATTTCTTGAACACAAGGAAAGAAACATAAAATCACCTGCAATATATTTATTCCAATTTTTTCCCTATCCGTCATAAACCTCAACTCTTTTTATTTAAATTTCCTGAATAAAATTCTTTCTGAGCATAGCCTGTTTATCTCAGGAATACCTTTTCTCCCTTTCTGCCAGAGCATGCCCCTCTGCAAGCTTAAATATCCTGCAAAACCTGGTCCTCCTCTGAGCAATTAATGGTAGATGGTGTATGGGGAACTGGGAATTAGAGGGAAAAATAAATTGCACAAATCTAAATATATTTCAAGTGTCCATGAGAGGAAATAGCTGGAAAGAATAATGTGTTAAAATGTGTTACTCTGTTGTAGTTGTCCAAGGTAAGTTTTTTCCAGACTTCCACAAAAAGATGCCTACTATTTATATTTGTCATGTTAATAGAGAATTTCTGTAGTTATAATCCAAATGCATTTCTTTTTTTCTTTTTTCTTCTCTTATTAAGAATGGCTGTAATTTTTCTCACTTGCCTCTGGATATATTCCTTGGAAAAAAATATGTGAAGTCTGCTATATGTTATTTTTTAAATAAAATATGGAGCACTGTAATGAATGTCTAAATAAAAAATCATTTAAAAAGTATATTTAATATGCATCGTGCAAATAAAAATAAATGTGAGCAAGTAATTATATAACCCTGTTTGTTTAAAATTGAAACTTGTGACAATTACAAACTCCCACAGATTTGGATCATACCATGTTTATAGTAAAGTCTGCAAAAAACAATGACTTTTTAATCATTGACTATATCAGTTGGTCTTATGGTCAGTATTACACAATCTTAACCCTAAAACCTGCTCTGGGTCTAACCTTATTTTTACAAGTGGACTGATTCAAGGAGAAGAGCCATGTCTGCATCAATCCTCTTTGTCCAAGTCAATTTCCTCTATCAGATAAGAATCTCATTAGGAAGTTCTGCAGATCAATAGATCCACCTCTGTGTTATACTTACCCTAATTAGGCTTCCTAACAGTGAGATATCAAGGCAGCAAGAAAGCCAGTAGTGTACACCAATTCTTAATTGTATATTGCTTCCATGCAGACAAAGTTGAGATGTTTTTGAGCTCTAGGACTTGTTCTATTATTTTCCTTCACATAATGTATGTCACAGTGGATTTTTTTTTTTCTCAGCCGTAATACAAGAGTAGAATTTGTCATATAGAATCTGACTCACTGTACAAGCTTGTATATATCCATTCTTAGGTCATGAGTCAGTCGTAGATAGAAGAAAATCAGTTATATTGGCTTTGACAATCTTTCAGTTTGAGACTTAAAAACATTTTTATACATAGCAACATCTTCTGACATGTAAGTGTGCCCAGTCATCAAACTTCTACATGGAATATTTATCTGCAACACAATATGTTGTGTGTTTTTTTTCCCCTTACACCCAAGATAGGACTCTGAAATTTCTCTAGGTCCTAATGAAAATTTGTTTCAGTAATTCAAAAATATGTCTAACTAGGTCAGTAAAAAGGGCTAAGATCCCAGGGGCATTGGTTTCAACTTGTAAAATTTGGCAAGTACATTGAATTAATTGCAACATATTTGAATCACTATCTCCTGTAGTAGTACCCACTAGGTAGAACTTCTTAATAAATAGTGTTTGACCCAGGGTTGAAAACAAATTTCTGGCTGATAATTTTAGCAGCTTGTTTCATAGGTTAATTCAAGTCAGGGGACTCAAAAAGTGCTATGCAATTACTGGTCTCTACTTGAAATATAGAACCCTCACATCTGTAGTCTCCTCCCTAAGAAAAAAAAATTCAAATGTTAATGTGATCTCCATACTATCTCTTCAGCAATTTATTTATTTATTTATTTTTGCAAAACACGGTGATAAATCAGCAGTCATGGTGAAAATACACTCTCAATTCAAAAGGAAAACGATAAAGTTAATCTAAAGTATTGATAGATGGATGTGTCATGATACAGTTTGAGTGTGTCAAGAAAAAAGTCCAGTGACCAGAACCTATCTCATGTTATTTAGTAACTCAAAATAATTTAAATTACTTTTATATCTATTTCTCAAAAACTGTGAAAGTAGAACTTCTGTAGTAATATTTTTAAGTCAATCTATTTCTCTTTTATCAGGTATACATATATATTGTATTTTCATCCTCATTGTATTAGTCTGTTTTCACACAGCTATAAAGGACTACTAGAGAATGGGTAATTTATTTAAAAAAAAAAAGGTTTAATTGACTCAGAGTTCAATATGGCTAGGGGGTCACAGGAAACTTACAATCGTGGCAGAAGGTAAAGGGGAAGCAAGGCACCACTTACATGGTGGCAGGAGAG